>NC_000024.10:5441996-5742405 GCF_000001405.40 Homo sapiens
GACATAACTTACATGATCTGATCATGGAATGTGTTATTAAAAAATGTCCTGTTTAAAAATTTTTCAGAAAGCCACTTAAAGTAATAATTACTTTTAAAGAAGTACAAGTAATGAAATCATTTGAAATTTCTATTTCTTGTGAAGATTAAGTGTCAGGGAGTGAATTTACCCTTCACCTGAAACAACAAAGAAACCAAACAAAATGTATGAAACAATGGTTCTCAACATATCATACATAAAGGTACATGAATAATGATACTTAAGAAATAGAACATAAATGAAACAATAGTTACTCTTGCCTTAGCTTATTGCTTGCATATAATTTCTATCCTTTAGCACAGGGAGAGGGAACCCAAATAGAGCATGATTGGGCCCTCGTAGTAAATTCATCTCCTGGAATTGTGAGCCCAGGGAGGTCAAGGTGGCTAGGGTCCCTGGTCAGTGCTTATAGGGAAATTTATGGCATAAAATTACAATATTAGACAAGAAGATCTCAAATTAACTATCTAAGGTTCCACAGTGAGAAACCAGGAGAAGAGCAAAAGAAAACCAAATTAAGCAGAAGAAAAAAAGTAATACAAATTAGAGCATGAATCAATGAAATCAAAAGCCAAAAAACAATGGAGAAAATTAGTGAAACCAAAAGCTAGTATTTTGAGAAAATTAATAACATTGGTAAAACTCTAGGCAAACTGATAAGATTTAAAAAGAGAGAAGAAAATTAATAGTATTTGGATTAAGAGATGATATCACTGCAGATATTAAAAGTATAAAAAGGGAGTATTAATATTTATACTGTATACGTTTGACAACTTTGATGAAATATGCAAATTACTTGGAAGAGAAAACACTACCAAAGTCCAATCAGGAAGAAATAGCTTGAGTAGCCCTATATCACTTAAAGAAATTGAATTTATTACTAAAATAAATCCTCTCAAAAAGAATACTCCAAGCTTAGGTGGCTTCACTAGGAAATTCTACCAAATATTTAAGGACTAAATAACACCAATTCTATACAAACTCCAAAAACAATTATCAAAAGAGAAAACTATACCCCAACTCATTCCTTGAAACTGGAATTAGACTCTGATACCAAAACCAGAAACAAATATTTGAAGAGAAGAAAGCTTGCACACCAATATCCTTTATGAATATGGATGTAAAAATTCTTAATGAATATTTGGTGAGTCAAATCCAACAGTATACGAAAAGGATACTATTTCATGAACAAGTGGGGTTTATTATAGGAATGAAAGATTTGTTTAACATTCAAAAATCTATCAGTGCAATTCATGATATTAACAGACTAAAAAAGAAAAATCATATAAGTATCTCAATAGATGCAGAAGAATAATATGACAAAATCTAACATTTACTTGTTGTAGAAACTGTCAGCAGACTAGGACTAGAAGAGAAGCGTTGCAACATAATAAAGCATATCTGAAAAACCTATGGCCAGCATAATACTACATGATAAGACTGAATGCTTTTACTTAAGGATCAGGAACAAGGCAAGAATGTCCCTTCTCACAACCACTATGGAGATCAATTAGAGGGTTTGTCAAAAAACTAAAAATAGAACTACCATATGATTTAGCAATCTCTCTGCTAGATCCACATTCAAAAGAAAGAAATGAGTACATCAAAAAGATGTCTGTACTCCCATGTTTATTGTGGGACAATTCAGAATAGCTGAGATTTGGAAGCAACTTAAGTGTCTATCAACAGACAAAGGGATGAAGAAAATGTGGCACATATATACAATGGAGTACTATTTAGCCAGAAAAAGGAATGAGATCCAGTTTTTGCATCAACATGGATAGACGTGGAGGTTATTATGTTAAGTGAAATAAGCCAGGCACAGAAAGACAAACTTCACATGTTCTCACTTATTTGTGAGAGCTAAAAATTTAAAACAATTGAACTCATGGAGATAAAGAGTAGAATTATGTCTACCAGAAGCTGGGAAGGGTCGTGGCTGGGGGGAAGTAAGGATGGTTAATGGGTACACAAATATAGATAAATAAAATGAATATCATCTAGCATGTGTTAGCACAACAGTATGGCTACACTCAACAATAATTTATTGAACATTTACAAATAACTAAAAGAGTATAATTGGATTGTTTGTAACACAAAGAAAGGATAAATGCTTGAGGTGATGGATACCCCATTTACTCTGATGTGATTATTATGCATTATATGCCTGTGTCAAAATATCTCATGTAACCCATAAATATATACACCTACTATATACCCGCAAATTAAAAATTAAAAAAAAAAACTTAGAATGAAAAGACAAACCACAAAGAAAGAGAAATATTTGAAAATCTCATATTTGCTAAAGAATTTTTATCCAGAAAATATAAAGTACTCTCAAACCTGTGTCAGAAGAAAATTATCAACCTAATTAAAAATGTTAAAAGAACTGTGAACAGTCATTTCAACAAAGAAGATATATGGATGAAAAACAAGCACATTAAAACGTGCACATTACTAATCATCAGGGAAATGCAAAATAAAATAACATTTAGAATACTTAAAATTAAATTGATTCTTTGTATCAAGTATTGGTGAAGATGTGGAGCAACTGAAACTCTCTTACACTGCTGGTGGAAATGTAAAATTGAACATGTTGGAAAACAGTTGGTCAGTTTCTAATAAAGTTAAACCTACTCCTACTACATGACCTAGTCATTCCATCCTTATTCATTTACCCAAGAGAAATGAAACTAAAAAGACTTGTGCAGACCCATTCATAGCAGTTTTATTATAGTTGAAGTCTAGGCACATCCGAAGTGTCCATCAACAGTAAAATTAATAAACAAATTGTAGCAAGCCAATTAAATAGATTTCTATTCATCAGTAAAAAGTAACAAACTATTGATACAGGCAGCAACATGGAGGAATATGCATATAATTATCCTGAGTGAATGAAGCCAGATACCAAACAAGCATGCATACTGTATGAATCAACTTATGTAAAACTCCAGAGCCTGAAAACTAAGCTATTATGTCAGAAAGCCAATCGATGCTTTCTTGAGAAATGAAAATGTTCAAGAGTGAGAGTGAAGGATTACAAAGAGGCGCAAGGAAACTGTTGAGGGTCAGGATGTGTTCACTGTCTAGACTGTAGTAGTGGTTTCATGAGTGTATACATACTTCAAAACATATGTTGTGCATTTTAAATATGTGCAGTTTACTGTATGTTAATTAAAACTTAATAAAGCTTTTAAAAATACTTTTGTACAAATAATTATGATAGGCTACATCTTAAATGATGTTTTCATCAACCTTACAATTTAGCTTTGTAGGAATGTCTGAATCCCTTGCAAAACAGTAGTCATTAAATGCCCGTTTCCTGTCTTGATATCATTCATGAGCTGATTTTTTCTTTCCACCTCCTCCTCCTCCTCTTTCTTCTTCCTCTTCTTCTTCTTCCTCTTCCTCTTCCTCTTCTTCTTCTTCTTCCTCTTCTTCTTCCTTCCTTCCTTTTCGCCCTCCTCTTCCTCCTCCTCCTTTTCCTCCTCCTCCTCCTCCTCTTCCTTCTTCTGCTTTTACTTCTTTCTTTGTTTTTAAATTGCCTAGAATGTCCTGACTCTTGTGGTAACTGCCTATGCTAGCTATGGTATACCAAAAGAAAATGCATAAAACTTTTTGCCTGCCATCAAAAAACTTTTGGTTTCGTTGGGAAAAAATATGAATATAAAAAAGGAAATAGTATAGTCAATACAAGACAGTACATATTTAAGCACCAAATTTTCTGTTACAAATTATGATATTGAAGTTATGAAAAGCAAAAATCAATATATACCATAATAGATTGGGGAAATTTTACGGAGAAAATTGGATTATCAGATATTTTATTCAAATGGTTCTCTTCCTTTTTAACCAATTTACACCTTAAAACATTTGGTTTAAAAATTATGTCCTCTACAAAGCCTTCTCTGATTAATCTCCTATCCCTTATCACCAGGTATTAATATACATTCTCTCAAGTGTGTTGAACTCAGTTTTTCTCAATTTATTTGCACTGTTACATCATTACAACTATAATTTAAAATAAATTGTGGTCAATAACCCTATTTTCCATCTTTCCTTCTCCTTGTTGCTCAATGTACTGTTCCATGAATAATGGACGTTCAAATAAATAGCATTATCTGGCACACATTAATTATAATACATGCCATAACGAGGGTTTATATTCACAACCTGAAGTCTGTAATTATAAACTGTTAAAGATGCCCTATTAATACAGTTACAGTGAAATCACCACCATTTGCAAATTATGTGCTGATACTTAAGTGCTAAAGTCTCTTAAATTTCTTGAAGAAAATGGCATGATATTCAGTGTAATGAGACTTGTATAAATAAGAAAATTTAAGAAAGCAAGTAAATACCTTTCTAATGACCATTGCATTACTTTTGACAATAGCTTTTATTTATTTGTATCCCAGGGCAGCTACATTTGTAACAATATTCAGGTTAGCCTTTTGTCTTACTTTCCCACACTTTTACTTGTATATAGGTGTGTGTGTGTGTGCGTGCATGCACACATGTGTGCATTCACGTGCATGCCTCTGACATATAAAGGTGAAGACCATAAGATGTGAGTTCTCAAAGTTTTTAATTTGAGCTCCTATGTGTTTATTAAAGTACCACTATCACTACTCCCTGTTGATACTCACTTTCAGTTAATAAAAAATTAAATCAGTAACAATTATTGGCTTTAATTTACAAATATGTTCTCACAATTTCTAAAGATAAATGACAACTTATCCTTACCATATGCTTTTACAAAATATTGTGTTTATTAACAGGCAACAAATTGGGTAATTTGACCAATCAATCTTGAAATGTAGTTACTAAAACAGCAGCAGCAGCAACAGCAGCAGCAGCAGCAGCAGCAGCGCAGGGAACTGGTTGGAAATACACATTCTCAGGCCCTACCCAGACCTACTGAATCCAGAACTTCAGGAATAAGCCTCAAAAATGGATGTTTCCATAGACTGCTAGCTTATCCTGATGCATATTAAAGTTTAGAATAAAGTTGAGAATTTGGGTTAGACCCAGTGGAAACTTAACAACTTGGGTTTATGTCTAGGCATTCAGAGGGGTTACCAAATAGGAAATATTGTTATATTAAATCCCAGGTTAGAAACTGTGAGGGTAGAAGCATTTATGCAACATGTACATGGGAGGCAACAGAAGGAATTAGTTTCATGCCCTTATTTTTGCTAAAAACTATTAGGGTTTAATGCCTACTCACACCATGAAGTGACAATAAGAACTTCAATAAGTTATGTAAAACTTTTGTGACTTAATTTTAATATCTTCAAAATGAGCATGATGATATTGACACCTGATGAATAACGTTGTTGTGAAGTTTAAATGGCTTAATACGTATAAAGTATTTGAATTACAGGAGATTTAAATCCTAATGTCTTGCATGAGAAGATATTTTGTTTTTTTTTTTCTTTTTTATGGCTTGTGTAATAGAGCTGACAATTGATGCCTGTGTGAGTCATAGAGTGATGAAATTATTCCTACCTGTTCGAGACAGCATTCTGTACTAAATAACTAATGTTTTATCAAGCGTTCAATTTCCCAAAAATTGCTTTGGAAATAATTTTCGCTATTCAGAAATTTACTCAAAGTGAATTTCCTGATATAAGCCCATGTGCAGCAACATAAGTCAAGATATTGAAAGAACTCACTTTGAGAACTTTCCTGAGGGAAGGTGGTCATAGAGCAGGTTTTATTATCTGAGTAGAGGTTGTAGACAGCCAGGACAAGTTAATTGTTAGTTTCAGGTGACAATTTGCCTAATTTGGTTTATATACTTTGTTCCATTCAGTCTTTGATACCAATTTAGCATATATAAATCATCTATGATATTTTTGGAAAGTAAAGTTCAATTAAGCAACACACACTTATTAACATCTTCAATGACAGAAAAACCATAAAGTATTTTATTCTCATAGAAAACCAGCAAATTATTATCAGTGTTGAAAGTTTGAGTTGGGATCTACTTTAACTTTGTGCTGTTCTAGTTTGGCTGCCTTGGAAAGTCTCCATTTGCATTTCAGGCTCTGACAATAGCATTCGCTTTCAGACTGTGGTTGTCTCTTAAACAACATGGGTTTGAAATATATGGATCCAGTTATACGTTGATTTTTTTCAATGAATACTGTAAATTGTTTTGAAATTTCTGACAATTTGGAAAAACTTACAAACTGTGTAGCCCACAGAAATTGAAATTATTAAGAAAAAGGTATGTCATGAATACATAAAATAAATGTAGACACTAGTCTATTTTATCATTTACTACCATAAATTATACACAAATCTTTAATAAAATATTAACATTGATCAAAATTTACACGCAGAAACACAGACCATACACAGCACCATTTGCAGTTGAGAGTGATATAATCAAACATAAAGATGTAGTATTAAATTATAACTGCATAAGTTTAGTGTAGTAAACACTGTACTACTGTAATAATTTCATAGTCACCTCCTATTTCTACTACAGTGAGCTGAACTGTTGCAAGTATCTCCTTTAAACTCCCTGTGATGCTAATTATCTCCAAGTGAGCAGTTCTCTCTCTAGTAAATTGTGTATTGTAGTAAAAAGTGATCTTTCAGGTCTTGTGTGTATTTCATCATGTTTAGTGCAATACCATAAACCTTCAATAACACCATGGGAGCCATACGAAGTGCCAGTCGTCATGCTGGAAGTACTCCCAAAAAGCAGAGAAAAGTCATGCCATTACAGGAAAAACTTGAATTGCTTGCCATGTGCCATAGATTAAGGTTGGCAGCTGCATTGCCCGCCATTTCATACAACTGATTCATCTTGTAAACAGACAAGATAAACTTATAGTATCGACAAACACAATATAGTACTCTAAATGAATCTTCTCTTCGTTATGATTTTCTTAATAAGGTTTTCTTTTCTCTAGCTTACTTTATTATAAGAATACAGTAGGTAGTACATATAACATACAAAATGTGTTAATCGATTGTTTATGTTATCGGTAAGGCTTTCAGTCAACAGTAGGCTATTAGTAGTTACCTTTTGGGGGAGTCAAAAGTTATATGTGGATTTTCAGGTGTAAGAAGGGCTGGTTCCCCTTACCCTTGTTGTTCAAGGGTCAACTGTATATTGCCTATCTCTCAGGGTCTAGGGTTTATAGTCAATCATTTACAGGTAAGGGAAAAAACACAATTTACTCTATTACTGACATTCCCAAACCCCCTTTTCCTTTTTTAGCATGAAGACAAGGAATTATTTTCCCAACATTGGATGCATGGAACCACCTTGAATCTATGTAAAATAAATTTTTTTTTCAGAGCCCAAAGCATAGAAATAACTGCCTTCAGTTCCAAATGAACACCAAAGTTCATAATTTTAGACCTCGAGTGACTCTTCATCCAACATGAGAGATTGCTTTTTTATTTCATTCATGTGTAAGTAGCTTCTTAAGTTTAAATCATGCTTGCATCTATAATCAGGAATCTGAAAGTAATGTGCTCTAGGCTTTCATTCCTGAAAGCTGTCTGAAAATAAGTGAAAATCAAGGCGTTTGAAGGAAATCGAAATCTATTTATCTCGAATGGGCTTTGCATGCACAGGCATGTTTTCCAATCCATTGTTGGACTAGTAGCAACCAAATGATAACAAAAGGGTGAAAATGAACTCCTCTCTAATCTGCAAGTATCAGATCAATAACACTTCATCTGTTAATGGAGCAGGTCTGAGTTTTCCAAACAGTGTGAAAATCACACTTACAATGAGTAACAAAAAGCAACTACTAGAAACATTGTGCAGAAAATTTCCTTAAATGTATTTTGTTGGTAAAGCTAAGACTATACTACAATGAGGTCATTAATTTCTAGCCAGTATCATATAAATAAATACATGTATGGGTGTAGATAGATAGATATTGGGTGTGTGTGTGTTTCTAAAATATTTACAATAGTGATCACGATTTGACAGTTAATACCTACCTTCTCTATTTAATATCTAAGTTTTGCAGTAATTGATCTACTTTTATGCCGTTGGTGGTCATAGTAGCAAAGCTATAATCAATTAGAAATTCTCTTTTGAGATGTATTTTAAATGTTTGTAGATGACACCTACCACAAGAGAACAGCTATAGCAATTATCTTAGTGATTTTGTTTGTGCTTATTATATAAATTACAAGGAAGGTATCTACCAAAATTATCAAAATAGAAAAAAATAAAAAAAGGAAGTTGTCATATAAATATGTCAAAATTACATAATAACTATTATAAGAAAATAATTTGATTTATTCTTATGTTATATTTGACATGCATGGAAGATCCTTTTTCAAATTTAATCTGGAGGATTCACACACAAAATTATTCTGAAATAAGATGACTTCAAGGTCATAAAATTGAATCTTGAGATATTTTCAAGATATTTCAAGATTTTCATTGTAATGCTGAATAGTTAACATTTATTAAAGAAAACCAGAGGTAGTCCATGTTTCTGATAACAAATATATAAAAATGTTTATTGCATATATGTGAAAAATATATTCAAAGTCTTTCATTAATAATTGATCATTCACATTATTTCAGCCTTGTAAATTTCAAAACCCAAATCTGACAACATATGAAAACTTTTTCATTAAATTCAAGAATATATATATTTATAATTTTTTGTTAGGGCATTTTTGATTAACCTGTGAATCCATTGATTTTTGCCACATATGCTGTAGTGGAAACTGTATGCTGCGCAGTTACTTGACCTCAAATTCACTCAAAGTTTTCAAAGTTTCTAAATATTTCTCACACTTATGAGTCACGCAATGCATGGACAGCTTTTATCTCTTTGTAGCTGCATCTCTTTCAGTAAGAATTTTGAGCCAATTAATTCACAGCAAAGTGGGCAACATAAGGTTTTTTTTTTAAGAAAATAGTCATAGTGTCTGAGGACTCAAACTCAGCCCTACCAAACAATTCATACAAGTTACTTTTTGATTCAGTTCCTTACAGCGCTGTCTTCTAGTTTTATATCTACACTGGAGGGGTTGACAGGCTCTAAATATTTGATGTCCCACTCCAAGTGACATCAGATTTCTCCAAAAATAAATGTAGATGTGAAGTATTTCTCAGCCTTCACACAGTGAATTTATACTACTTAAACTATGACATGTTTAATACATAGTAGAACCATTTGTGATCTTTATGTAGCTGAAAAGTTACTGGAGATAGCTGGAACACTGAGGCTGCATATATGGCCAGTGGAATGCAATTTTCAGTTTGTCTTGTAAGGTAGGAAATTTGCATTTGTTAATTGGCAAGCTCCCACCATGATCCAAGTCCAAGATCCCAGTGCCTTGTACTGCTAACATATTGATGAATTCCACAAGTTCTCTGGAAGCATCTAGCCCTGCGGCTTGCTTATAGCAGATAAGTAATAGTGAGTTCTTGCTCCCTTTGGTAAGTTAATAGACCTCTGGTTTCTGCCAATCCATTAGTTTTTCAGAGAAAGCACTACATTGTATCCATTAGCATCACAGGAAAAAAATGCTGACATTCATAGGTCATTCATTCAACACTGAATGTCCTGGATGTACTCATTGTTCTTGGTCTTGGGATACAGAGCTGAATAAGACAAGATCCTAGCTTGAGTAAAGTTCATAATCAATGAAGAAAGAAAGACATAATAATTTAAATATGTAATGCAACATGAACAAACTGTGTAATAGAGATATGTATTGATATGAGGGCCTACCTGATTACAGAGAAGAAAGTGAGTAAGTCTGTTTCAGTAATTTGAGTAGATTCCTAGGGATTAATTGGAGTAACCAGGTCTTGATTCCGGAAAGACCATCTTCAGGGTTTTCTAAAGATGTTAAATATGAATATGTGTATAAAAGATGGGGATTTACTGTGGGCAAAATGAATACTGTATCTATATCCACCACTTACAGAGTGTTTATTATGTTTAAAGATCCATACTAAGAAATGCAGATAAAGTCCAACAGCTTTTAATTAGACATATTCTTAAACTCTACATTATATTGTCCCCTCTTACATATAAATTTCCATAGCTAATAAATAGAAATATTTTTGCCTATTCAGTTTGCTGAGAAGGATAGTGAGAGGGTTGGGGAGGTGTGGGTGTTGGGGATGGTTAATGCTTTAAATATGTTTTACAATGAAAACCCAATATTCACAAAATAAGTCATAATTCAATTTTCTAAGACCTGTTCTCATGTTTAAATCACCTTTTCAAATAACACAATAAATTAAGCTGACAACCTTTCCACATAGAAGATTCTTATTCAAATAACTGTCTTAAGTAAATGTTATATTAATTTCTTGTTTCTTAAGTAGACAGTTATTAAATTAGCTTCTGGTATTTTGGAGAGTTTAGGCTACACTCTGTATTGATTAGCTTAATCCATGTTGGGATAGCAGAGTGCACACTTCGCAGCTGTGAACTGTCACAATGTTCCTTTTTTTAATTGAGTAATTTGAGCCTGGAGACTGAGACAAGGCTATATAAAAACATGTACAAGCACATAATCCAATTCATGAGATTGCATACAAATAAAGTTCATTCTTTTCCAAATGTTGGAAGCATTTCACCACATAATACTGTTTCCTGCCTTGAATTATTGTTGGATTTAGACCCCACTACCTATCACTATCTATTAGAGCAAATTATATTCACTTACTGAGACAATCACCCCTAATTTTATACAACATGACGTTGGTCTTCAGGTGGCAGAAATAGAAACACACAAGCCTGGAAAATGCTTGTAAATAACCAATAGGCAATCAAATCAAATTGTTCATTTTTATTGCTAGCAATTACTCTGCGTAAGTGGCTGGGTCATGCTGGTTGGTGTCCTGAAGCTCAGGTATCAGAGAAAATGTTAAAGTATATACCTTGCTTCTTCTCTATTTCTAACTACTGGTGGGCTGCTCAAAGCTATGGATTTGAATTTATTTACTTTTATGTGAAATTCAACATAAACTGAATAAAAGATATGAAGATAATATGGAAGCAAAAAAGAGCCTGAGTAGTCAAAGCCATTCTAAGCAAAAAGAACAAAACTGAAGGCATCACCTTACCTGACTTCAAACTATACTACAAAGCTACAGTAATGAAAACAGCATGATACCCATGCAAAAATAGACATAAAGACCAATGTAACAGACTACAGAACCCAGAAATAAAACCACACACATACAAACATCTGATTTTTGACAAAGTGGACAAAAACAAGCCATGAATAAATAACTCCATATTCAATAAATGCTGCTAGGAAAACTGGCTATCCACATACAGAAGAATGAAATTAGACCCCCATCTGTCACTGTATACACAAATTAAATAAAAATAGATTAAATACTTAAATGTAAGACCTCAAATTATAAAAATCTTGGAAGAAAATCTAGGAAATACCCTTCTTAACATTTGTCTTGGGAAAGAATTTACGACTAAGTCCTCTAAAGCAACTGCAACCTGTATTAGCCCATTCTCGCATTGCTATAAAGAAATACCAAAGGCTGGGTAATTCATAAGGAAAAGAGATTTAATTGGCTTATGGTTCCTCTGGCTATACAGGAAGCATGATACTGGCATCTGCTCACCTTCTGGGGAGTCCTCAGGAAATTTACCATCATGGTGGAAGGCCTAGGGAGAGCAGGCACATCACATGGCCAGAGCAGGAGCAAGAGAGAAGTGCCACACTTTTAAATAGCCAGATCTGACAAGAAGTTGCTCACTATTGTGAGGACAGAATCAAGGGGATGGTGCTAAATCATTTATGAGGGATCCAACCCCATGATCCAGTCACCTCCCACCAGGCCCCACCTCCAACACTGGGCATTACAATACAACATAAGATTTGGGTGCAGACACTTATCCAAACTATATCATTCCACTCTTGGCCCCCTCAAATCTCATGTCCTTCTCACATTGCAAAATTCAATCATTCCTTCTCTATAGTCCCCCCAAATCTTATCTCATTTCAGCATTAATTCCGAAGTCCAAAATCCCAATTCTCATCTAGAGATGTGTTTCTTCTGCCTATGATCCTAGAAAATCAAGCAAGTTATTTACTTCCAAAATACAATGGAAAAACCAGCATTGGGTAAACATTCTCATTCCAAAAAAGAGAAATCGGCCAAAGAATGAAGCTACAGACCCCATACCATCAGGAGAGTCATTAAATCTTAAAAGCTACAAAATAGTCTCCTTTGACTTCATGTCCCACATCCAAGGCACAGTGGTGGGAAGGATGGGCTCCCAAGGCCTTGGGCAGCTCTGTCCCTGTGGCTTTCTGGTCTTTGGCCCCAACAGTTGGTCTCCTGGGCTGACACTGAATGCCTGCAGCTTTTCCAGGTGCACAGTATGAGCTCTCAGTGGATGACAGTGACCCTCTTCTCACAGCTCCACTAGGCAATGCCCCAGTAGGGACTCTGTGGGGGCTCCAACCCCGCATTTCTCCTCTGCACTGTTCTACTAGAGTTTCTCTGTTGAGGGCTCCATCCCTGCAGCAAGCTTCTGCTGGAGCACTCAGGCTTATTCATACATCCTCTGAAATCTAGGCAGAGGATCCCAAGCCTCAAGTCTTGACTCAGTGCACCCACAGGCTTAACACCACATGGAAGCCACCAAGGCTATGACTTGCATCTTCTGAAGCAGTGGTGTGAGCTGTATCTGAGGCCCTTAGAGCTGAGACTGGGAACAAAGCAACTGGGATGTGAGGAGTAGTGTCCCAAGGCTATGCAGGGCAGTGAGACCCTGGTCCTGGCACACAAAACCATTCTTTCCCCATAGGCCTCAGGGCCTGTGATGGGAGAGGCTACCTCAAAGGTCGCTGAAATGCCTCCGAGGCCTTTTCCACATTGTCTTGGAATCAACCCTTGGCTTTTTAGCTATACAAATCTCTCTGGCAAGTGGTTGCTCCACCACCTGCTTGAATTCCTCTCCCAAAAAAGCTTTTTCTTTTTCTGACACTTGGCTAATTTTTCAACATTTTATGCTCCGCTTCCCCATTAAGTATAAGTTCCAACTTATTTATTCACTCCCACATCTGAACATATGCTGTTAGGAGCAGGCACAGCACTTCTTGGACACTTGCTGCTAGAATTTTCTTCTGCCAGTTACTCTATATCATCATTCTCAAGTTCAAACTCCCACAGAACCGTAGGTCATGAATACAGTGCAGCCAAGTTCTTTGCTAAGACATAACAAAAGTGACATTGACTTCATTTCCCAATAAGGTCCTCATTTCCATCTGCGAACACAGCAGCCTGTACTTCATGGTCCATATCACTATCAGCGTTTTGATCACAACTATTTAACCAGTCTCTAAGAACTTCCAAACTTTCCTCATCTTCCTGTCTTCCTTGGAGCCCTCCCGACTCTTCAAACCTTCACCTGCTATTCAGTTCCAATGTCACTTCCACATTTTCAGGTAGCTTTATAGAAATACCCACTCCTTGGTACAAAAATACCAAATTTTTGTATTAGTCCATTCTCACATTTGTATAAAGAAATACCAGAGACTGGGTAATTTATCAAGAAAGGAGGTTTAATCGGCTCACACTTCTGCAGGCTACACAGTAACCATGAGGTTGGCATCTATTCAGCTTTTGAGGAACCCTCAGGAAATTTACAATCATGGTGGAAGGTGAAGGGGGAGCAGGCACCTTACATGGCCAGGGCAGGAGCAAGTCAGGGGTGCCACACTTTTAAACAGCCAGATCTCATAAGAAGCCACTCACTATTGCAAGGACAACACCAATAGGATGGTACTAAACCATTCGTGAGTCGTCCAACTCCATGATCTAATTACCTCTCACCAGGCCCCACCTCCAACATTAGGCATTACAGTTCAACATGAGATTTGGGTGGGGACACATATCCAAACTATATCACAACCAAAACCAAAATTGACAAGTGTGATCGAATTAAACTAAAGAGATTCTGCATAACAAAAGATAACTATCAACAGGATAAACAGACAACCTATAGAATGGGAGAAAATATTCACAAACACAAATCCAACAAGGGACTAATATCCAGAATCTCTAAGGAACTTAAACAACTCAAGAAGCAAAAAACACATAACTCCACTAAAAATAGGCAAAGGACATGAACAGAAAATTCTCAAAAGAAGATATACATGTGGTCAACAAGCATCTGATAAAATACTCAACGTCAGTAGTCATCAGATAGAAGCAAATCATAACCACAATAAAATATCATCTCACAAGAGTCAGTATAGCTTTTATTAAAAAGTTAAAAAATAATGGTTGCAGGGCTGCAGAGGAAAGGGAATGCTTATACACAACTAGGGGGAATGTAAGTTAGTTCAGCCACCGTGGAAAGCAGTTTCAAGGATTATCAAACAAACAAACAAACAACAAATGAAAAAAAGAAAACTACCATTCAACCTAGCAACCCCATTACTGAGTATAGACCCAAAGGAAAATAAATCATTTTACCAAAAAGACACATGCACTCATATGTTCATTGCACTGCTGTTCACAATGGCAAAGATGTGGAATCAACCTAGATGCCCATAAACAGTGGATTGGTTAAAGAAAATGTGGTACATATATCCCATGGAATACTACGAATCCGTAAAAAAGGAACAAAATCATATCCTGTGCAGCAATGTGAATGCATTTGGAGGCCATTTTCCTAAGTGAACAAATACAGAAACAGAATCCAAATACTGCATGTTCTCACTTATAAGTGGGAGGTAAACATTTATGGACATAAAGATGAGAATGATAGACACTAAAGTATTCAAAAGGAGGGAGTGAGGGAGGGGTGCAAGGGTTGAAAGAGTACCTATTGGGTCCTATGCTCACTAGCTGGGTGATGTGTTCATTCATACTCCAAACCTCAGCATCACACAATATACCTTGGTAGGAAACCTGCACATGTACCACCTGAATTTAAAATAAAAATAGAAAAAAATAAACTCAAAAAAGAGAAAAGAATATATGAAGGTAGTTAAATTATTCCATTTATCTTTTCTTGTAGATGATGAAATGATTTCTATTTTGTGCTCCCCAATTGCTAATATGAAACATTTTCCAAGAGAAATAGCTGACCAAACATGAGAATATTTCTAATCAAATTAAGTGTTTTATATAATCAGAATCATGATGAAGACTGTTTGCTGAAGTTGGCTTGGGACTAAACACCATTATTTGAAACTCAAATAGCTGTCTCATTTTAAATGTGTAAGGGACAGCATTCAGGCAAAGTCCATTTTCAAAATGGGTTTGCACCAAAGCTGTTTGGAAGGCCAATCTTTAAGGTCAGATTCATTTTGGAAATTCCATCTGCCTTGTTTAGTGTTAGGTAGAATAGAACTTATAACAAATCAATTGAAGAATATTGGTATAAGCCTATATAGTTCTACCATTTTAAAAATCAACCAAAAGCACTTAGAAATTCAGACTTGCTTTCAGAATAGCTTTACGGAGTCGGTTTTCACCTTACCCTGTGATATGGTGGATAATATTACAGTAAAGAGTGGGGAAAAAAGGAGGTAATAATTGTTAAACCTGTAGTGGCATTTTAGGTTTTATTTCAGAATTACCCATATTGGACATTATCATAAGGGAACACACATAAACTGTTTTATATAAAGCTATATATCTACGTGTATTTCTTTATGTGAAATGACTTTGCCTTTCAAGAAAAAGAGAATCACATTAAATACAATTTTTAATTTTACCAAACTAGTTTTGAATTATCTAGTGGAAATTTTCAGTCTGTATTCAAAAAATACATTGTGCCTTTAGCAATGACATTTAAAAATTATTTCTAATCAAGAAGCTTATGAAAATGATACTGCTAAATTTAATACCCACCTCAATAGCATTCAATGCTATTTTTGGACGTTCAATTATACATTATATGTAAACTGAAGTGGGCCCTCTGTTGAGTCTGGACAATGTCTATATAACTGAGTGTTTACAAACTTAGCTAGATGAGAAAACTTTACTTTGTGTATTCTAGCCCTAAATTAGATTTTAAATTTCTTGAAAGCTGGTTGTACAAACGTTTTTTTTGTCTTGCCCCTGTCTTCTAAGTTCTTTGGGTCCTCAAGTTTTGGCACATTATTCTATGTATAGTAGGAACTCAGTAGATGAATAATTTGTGATTTACAGACTATGAAGCTAATGAATGATGATGTTTGAAGATCTTATCCATCTGGACCTTTCCTCATGCTAGGCACATTATTTTGGCCCGTTATTCTAGATATAGTAGGGACTCCATAAATGAATAATTTGTGACTTACAGACTATGAGGCTAATGAATGATGATGTTTGAAGATTATATCCACCTGGACCTTTCCTCATGCCTGTAGAAGCAAATTAAAGTTATTATTTAATTAATAATTAGGCAGCACAAAGCAAGAAAATGTCATTAACTATTTTATAAGCTAATTAACAATGTGGCTGTTAACATTATTTTATCAAGGTCAGGTAGTAAGTCAAGACAGATAGAGAAGCATAATCTGTATCTTCTGTCTCAGTCTGAGTTCTCCCTTGTAATAGGCTGCTTTTCTCCTCCACTTTCTGGAATAGATGAGGGGGATTTTGTTTAAACAACATTATATGTAGTGCTAACCACTTGTAAAAATAAAATCTTATCCCTTACATTTTCCATAGTTGTACTATAGAATTGCATCGTAGAAATGTTGTTGATCATAATAACTTTTATAGATTTCATAAATACATCAACAAGGCAGAGAAAATTAATGATGCTTGATAAAGAAATAAGATAAATTCATTTCTCAAGAACATTTTGATTGTAAGCTACTCCTGTATTGTCTTTTAACATTAATGTCTATGCAATAAACTCAGTGGTGAATAAGAAATAAAGAAAAGGGCCAATGACAGAATTAATAGCACCAAGTAATAATTAATAATGTTGAATGGAAAGAAAATAAAATAATGAGGATAAATCTGATAAGAGTATTCAGGAATGTAACAGAGCACTGTCTACTATCGCTTCTAAAAGCAGGAATAGGGCTATTTCCTGCTATACAGTGTTGCTAGCTAATATGATGAATAGGTGGAAATGCTTGCCCTTCATCTTTCCTTTTTAAAAATATTCTTTCTCTGTTTCTTTTCCTTTTTTACCTAAATTTTTCAGATATTTCCAAATGTTTACTAGTTCTTTTCTACTTGTCTTGATTTTTGAGCTCTTTGAAGGAAAGAGAACTTATAAATCTTATTAATCAAACAAAAGAGAATATGAAGATACAATCATATAGCCTTAGTGAAAACAGAGCTGAAGAGTATACGAAGAACATTCCTTTTCAATTTGGTACGTGTTTTTTTACTGTTGTGTCTAGGTTACTTGCTTCTCAGAAACATGAAATAATTCAGCTATAGACAGGGTACA
Source organism: Homo sapiens (assembly GCF_000001405.40). NCBI lineage: Eukaryota > Metazoa > Chordata > Mammalia > Primates > Hominidae > Homo > Homo sapiens. Next base: position 5,459,435 of record NC_000024.10, read on the forward strand.
TAAACATATCATCTAACTCCCATTGGGTTAGATACAGGGAAGCTACTTTTATATAGAAGTAAATAATAATTAGCTTGAAAATAATACATTTGGAGGGATTACAAAGAACAACCACAGAGAAAATGACTTAGAATATGAAGCTTTATACTCTTTTTCCCACTGGCCCCAACTCTACACTAGAAATATTCTCAACACAATCAGAATATTAGTAAATGTCTTAAACATTAAAAAATGAGTTTTAAAAAATTGTTTAAACAGATTTTATTAAATCCAGAATAATGTTAATTTTTAATTTGTATTTGTTTTAATAACTGCAATAAGGTCAGAAGAAATCTCAAAACAATTGTTTTATAAAATAAGTTCATTGTCTTGATAGTTATTTTTTTTCCTCCCCGCATTATAGGAATTCATGAAGTTACGTCTGTCATCTTCATTTGTTATTTGAAGTTACTCTGCAAGTTACCTTAATAAACTCATTCATTATTTTTCAGAATATGAAAACACAGGAGACATGGTATTGAAAGCTAATTAGACACCCCTGAGCACATATCAGAAACGTATCAAAGTTAGTACCTGTATTTTTTTTCTGATAAAAGTACTAACTTCTAATGTGTGAGTAGCTAACATAGCAAAAGAATCCTAATATATGAAACCTAAGGAGAAAATACATAGAAATCCAATTTTAAAGTAAAATGTTGTTGTTTTGAATTTCCAATGATAGGTTTTAGATCTTCTTTTTCTTTACTTAAGTGAAGCAGCAAATATAGATGGGATGCTTGCATGTACATTAACGACTGCCAATGCTATATTGGCAATGAATTCATCAACTCATATGACAGATTCAAGATTAAGTTCTTATGCCTTCCTTGACATTTTGAAGTAGACCATTTTTGTTGTGGAAGAAAGAGGAAAAGGAAAGGTCATAGAATTTTTATCAGTCAGTCTTATTGTCTTTTAAAATAGCAATGTCTGTTTAATGTCAGTGAACAATTCAGATGGGGATTTGTGGGTAATTTGTTGATGGAGAGCATTTTTGCTACATTTTACATCTCAAGGTGTATAATCCCTTAAACTTGGCAATAATAGAATACTCTATAACTTACTAGATGGATCCTCTGTGCAAGATGAGTTATTTCTGCTTCCAGTCATCCTCTTCCCATAATATAAATAAAACCTGCACAAGTCCAAAACCTTGAACTTTATCTTACCATCTTCTCAGAAAATAATACTTTGTATTAAAATTTTACAAGTGACACGTGGAATTATACTTTTAAGTGAAAACATATGTAGTAGACTACAATCAACATTTAATAATAAATGCCCGTGCATCTAGACTTTTTACCAAAATTAAGTATTGCAAAGAAATTTATTAGATTCTTTTACTTGACGTTCAATAATTCATTCTAGTCAAACGGGCCTATCCTAGTCCATCCTCATGGTGGCAGCCATAGATATTTAGTTATTATGTGAATAAATAATGCTTTAATTCACTGCTGTGTCATGGTCTCCAATATGTATTTTCTACGGTATTGAAACCTCAAAGAAGATGTCTTGTAGCATATTTTTCCCTAGAAAATGTATTACATGGTATCCACTAAGATCTAGTTATTTTCAGTTGGTTTCCTACTAATTTTCTGTTAATTGGTGGTAAAAAAAACTAAGGTTTATTAAATCACTTGTGAGTCATTCACTTGAATTATATACGTATATTATGTGACTTTTGTGCTAAAATAATCTTTTCTATGTTTTTAGATATGCTTAAAATTCTTTTATAACCTTAAGTATGTATTGAGTTGCAGCTACACTTTGATTTATAAAATATATTTTAAAATTATTTGCATATGTAGACATATTTGTGTATGTGTACAAGCTCAGACATAAACCATGTTACTACTAGTTATAAATGTCAAATTAATCAATAATCATATAACTTATTCATTGACAAGTAACTCAATAAGTAATTTAAGAAATTATAGAATACTAGATGTCATTATATATTCACATAGTTTGACTTAATGAAATGTTTGATGTGAAACATGGCATTAATAGTTCATAAAGAAGACTTTTTTTCTCCTTCAGATGCTCTTATAGTCTTCTAATTCAACAAAAATTTTGACAGAAGACAAAGAAGACAATAGTCTGGAGAAAATGAAGATTACTTGAAATCCTAATTCAAAATCTAAGAGGCTTCTGGGTAGAAATGAATTCTCTAAGTATGCCTGAGTGTTAAGGAAAGCAGCTGACCTTCAGAGACACTCTAAACCATTTATACGCAGGTTCATGTCATCAGCATAGTTCATCACAACCTATTTCCATTCTTGCAGATGAGGGTCTTGGATTCCTAGGTGTCATGGCATCAAGTCTATATCCTCCATTATAACCTCATAGATAGTTTCTTCTGTTATAACTACATTGGAGCAAAGTATATTTAAAAACCCCTTTATTGTTCTTCCTTATTATCTATATTGTAGTATATACATAGTAGATTCCACAGAAATAGCTGGGTCTTCAATTGACTTGCAAATCAATTTTTCTTATTTTCTCCAAGTAGCATAATTTTGCAATTTAATGCTATCTTTGAAGACAAATATCATTTTTGTTTATGGACCATAGAGATTACATGAAAGAAAAGGACATTATACATCAGAGCCAGAGAGAAATTCAAAAAGAAAACAAGGGCTGATTTCAGTCAGTGTCCTGTTTTTACAGACACTGGAGCCACAAGCTTTCTAATTAGGGTGATTTATTATAGAACCCACTCCATTCCACCAAACTCTGGCATTTTTCTGTTCCTTTACACAACACTGTCACCTGGATTCCTAAAGCTGAAGCAAAACGGTTCCTGAAGTAATTGAATCAGCTTTGTTATTTTCAGCTCTGAGGACATCTGTTGGTGAAGTTCTGGACTACTAGCAACCAATGATCCAGCCCCGGGCTGGGTCAGAAAATCAAAATGAAACAAAAACAAAATATACAAATAAGTATTATATCTTGTAAGCCAAAGGCTGTGTTAAAGTAGTAAATGCCAGAGTAGGATTCTCATCCTGGTCTATCTGACTCCCCAAGCCCAGGATCTCAACCAATATGCTGTACAGCTTTCTCTTTTGTAACCATCCAAAATCCAAGTTCAGGGATTGAGACCATTCATCTATGAGATGTTTTAATTCAGAGAAATCAAACATCAAAATTATCATTATTATTATTATTATTATTATTTTTGAGACGGAGTTTCGCTCTTGTTGCCTAGGCTGGAGTGCAATGGTGTGATCTCGGCTCACTGCAAACTCTGCCTCCTGCGTTCAAGCAATTCTCCTGCCTCAGCCTCCCAAGTAGCTGAGATTACAGGCATGCACTGCCACGCCCAGTCAATTTTGTATTTTTAGTAGAGACAGGGTTTCACTATATTGGTCAGGTTGGTCTCGAACTCCTGACCTCAGGTGCTTCACTCACCTCCGCCTCCCAAAGTGCTAGGATTTACAGGCGTGAGCCAACACGCCTGGCCACTTATCAAAATTATAAGGAACAAATAAGGTATGGGACACTGATCATAGTCAGCACTACTGGCTTCCTGACAGCAGTCAAATTTTTCTGCACTTACTTTCTAAATGTGGAATGTTCTTTCTACAAGTATCTATGAGCATCTGACATGTATGGGTATTAGTGCATAATTGTAGCTCTGTGCACGTGACTATAGCTGGTAGAGCTCATAGAAACTCAAACCTTGTAACTTTTTTTCTAGATCTCGTTGAAATGGACATTACTAATACATATTATATTTAAGCATGTATTTATATGCTTTAAGCCACTGTGTGCTTATTAAATATCCATTATATAATGTATCTAATTATGATAAGAAATAGTGAAAATTTATTGTTTGGATATTTACATTTTTAAAATTGCAAAAAATTAATTCTTGTTTATTTTATAGGTAACTGAAAATAATGTTTAGCTTTTTATGAAATAATAGCCATTTTAAACAACAGAATAAAATTTATTTTAATTGGACATGTAGAAAGTATACATTCTCACTTGCAGTTCATTTATTTACCTAACATGTATTTATATAAGAATGATTTCTGTGATTCTAACCTTGACCTCTTCAGTCATTTCTCAATCAAGCTGCCACAACCATCCTTTAAAACTCAGATCACATCACTCTTCTGCTCATGACCCACCAATTGCTTCCCATTTCTCTCAAAGAAAGTTAAAATACTTTACCATGTTCTACAAGTCCCGCTACCATTTGTCCCCTCCCCTTTCCGTTCTTCTCTGACCTCCTTTCCTCTTATATATGGTCCTTATCTTATGATGAATCAATTTATGATTTTTTGACTTTATGATGGTGCAAAAGTAATACACATTCAGCATAAATTGTACTTTGAGTATGCATACAGTCATTCAGTTTTCCACTTTCACTTCAGTATTCAGGAACTTACATGAGATATTCAACACTTTACTATAAAATAGGCTTTGTATTGGCTAATTTTGTCCAATGTAGGCTAATGTAAGTGTTCTGAGGACGGTAAGGTAGGCTAGGCTAAGCCATGATGTTTGGCAGCTTAGGTGTATTAAATGCATTTTTGACTTAAGATAGTTTCAATTTAGATGCTCCTTGACTTAACAATGGGTTTATCAGGACATAACCCCTTCGTAAGTCTAGAAGCATCTGTACTCTTTCCTGGTCTCCCTTGGCTCTAGCAATACTGGCCTGCTTGCTATGCCTTCAACATATACACTGAAGTTGTGATTGCTTTTTATTTATGCTATCTATTTCACTGAAGATTTCTCCCCTGGTATCTTGTTTCATTTTTTTGATTTCCTTAAATTGGACCTCACCTCTTTCTGGTGCCTCCATGATTAGCTTAATAATTGACCTTCTGAATTCTTTTTCAGGTAAATCAAAGATTTCTTCTTGGTTTGGATCTATTGCTGGTGAGCTAGTGTAATTCTTGGGGCATGTTAAGGAACCTTGTTTCTTCATATGACTAGAATTGCTTTTCTGGTTCTTTCTCATTTGGTAGGCTATGTCAGAGGGAAGATCTGGGGCTCAAAGTTGCTGTTCAGATTCTTTTGCCTCCTGGGGTTTTCCCTTGATGTAGTAGTCTCCCCTTTTCCTAGGGATGTGGCTTCCTGTGAGCCAAACTGTAGTGATATTATTTCTCTTCTGGATCTAGCCACCCAGCAGGACTAGGTTGTCTTCACAGACAGAGTCCTGTGATGTGTACCATCTTCAGGTCTCTCAGCTGTGAATACCAGCACAGTGTTTTGGTTGTCTCCCAGGTCCTGTAGGAGCAATCCACTTTCTTCAGGGTGTCTATGGATTCTCTTGGCTTTCCTAGTATATTCCTGAAGTAGTTCTTGGAACAAAAGTCCATGATTCAAGTCTCCACACGCTGCTCTGTCTGTCTGACTGGGAGCTGCAATTTAGTTCTGCCTTCTATCTACCATTTTTCTCAGTATCCACCCAGAACAGCTTATCAAGATGGGCATAAAAATTGCAGACCTGTGACCATGTATTATCTTGTCTTGTTATGCTCTCGTACTTCAAAACACATTTGTTTCACCCATGTAACTCATTATTCTCATTTGTCATGAAATATTTGTGCACTGATAGACAATGAAAATTGGCATCTTCCTCTAGGATTTTCATTTCACTGATGGCAGGTTTTGAACTCCATAGATGATTTTCAATTCAAAGTGGAAGAAAGAACTTGTGAGTTAATTTCAAACTTCTGAGTAACTTCTGTTCAGTATGATGTTTACTTTACTGCAGTTGCAGGTCAACTGTTCTTCAGTCCTAAAATACAATAATCCCTAATCAGATATATCTGTTTCAAGAACTAAAATTACTTCTAATTTACAAGACTCGCTTCTTATAAACTATTCCATCAACTTAATTCTACTCCTACAAAGCTCTTTTGTGTAGGTTCACAAATAAATCATTTTACGCCTCTTTGCTTTCAGAATAATTCATTCAGGAATGACTCAGAGTAGGTTCGACTAATGCATGACATCTTTTAATTTCATGTAAACTAACAATATTCAATTTCATTTGGAAATATTTTATATCACCTGAACCTATGGGGTACATATAGTAAGTTTTCTTTCCATTTCTTTAGCTATCTTTAACATTCACATCGAATAATTTTCTAAGATCTGTAACTATGAAATTCTATTTTATCTTACTGCTATCAATTTTATTTATAGTGTAAAAATAATTATATTATCTTTACATTTGAATGCACTACACTGGCCTTGAGTCAAATTTTTTAACACGGTATTAAACATTGCATGTTTAGTTACTGCAAGCATCATATTAGTCACTGTTAAATGAGGTAAAATCTATTTTTCCTTAGCTCACTTCATAATTCTCTACTGTATATGATTCATCCCTTCATCTGGAATCTGCTGTAGTTGAGCTTCCATTGTGTTGGGTATGGAAGAGGTTTGTTCACACTGACTTACTGATACAGCAGCTATCGAATAATGGAAAAGATGTTATGATTTCTTAAGATCATCAGTCCACTCCTAGACATTGCCTGTAAAGAATCATATAGATTTTAAAGAAGACATGTGAAGTGTTTAAATGGAAACCTCTGTAGTTTTCAAACAATGGGAAATTGGAAATATTAACTCAATCTGACTACATGACCTTACCATCATTTGGAGAATAAGCTATTTCCAGTTGCCCTACAACTGAAACGATAATTTTCTTCATCATTATCATGACTTTCTCCTTTATACAATAAAAAGTTTTAATATTGAAGATGCAGTATCTTATATTTGTACTCCATCTACTGATCTTGGATTCTAAATGGATTGGAGCTTTTGCCTTGAGTAAATGTATTCCTACAAAAACCATAGAATTTTAGAGAGAAAAATGATATTAGAAAGACATTATATACCCAACCCTCTCGTTTGATTGATGAGAAAACTGATGCCAACTTAGTTATGAATTACCTGGATTTACATGAACAAGAAGTGGAACTGGAGCTCAGGTCTCTTGATTCATTTTCTAGAGCTTTTCCTACTCCACAAACTCCTTTTATTATGAATTCTGTATTCCAAATATTACTATAAATGAAGAATTCAATGTAGGATTTTTTTTTTCATCACTAAGGCAAGTGTTAGTTAACAAATACAGTCAAGGAGAAAATGAAATATTTGAAATTAGCTGAAGTTATACTAAAGGCACAAAGAAAAATTCTCAGACATTATTAGGTACTCAGTAAAAGAGAGAAATTCAGCATCATAGAGCTGTAAACGCCTTGATAAATGTGAGGTCAATCAATAAAATAATGACAGTGAACTCGTGTGGCTCATAGCATAGCACAGAAGATAAATCTGAAAGAGAAACAGCAAAATGTTGTGAACAATAGCAGCATCGTTGAAATAAATAGTCCCCATTTATACTAGTCTGTAGTTAGAGTTCTAATGAATTAATAATTTTTATTGATTTCAGTTTCTAAAAGAAATTTCTATTCTTGTCATCTTTATCTGCCTTGGAATCTGATAAAATCTAAGTTGACTACTTCTCATTAAAAGAAATTGTTGAAGCAGAATCTCTGTTATTAAAAGTAATGCAAAACCAAAACAAAACTCTTTTATACATCTGAAGGTTACAAATAAAACATACATTTATCAGTTTTATTACAAAGATATATTATTAAAGCATGAATGGTTTTAACATGAATTGTTTCTTCATTTATTCACGGTAGTTTATACTGCCATTGTAAATTTTAGAGTTTCCCTGCATTTTTTTTGCAAATATCATAGGAGCTATTATAGATATTTCATGTTCTATATCTGACTTACAGTTACCCAGTTTTGATCATGACCAAGCAATAGGATCCTAAGGGTCCATTTGAAAGGATTTGGAGGAAATATAGCTTCATGTTGCAATATAGTTTTGCACATTTGTGACTGATCACTGCAATCAGAGAACCGTGCTATCTCATGTTAAGACTGTATAAATATATACTGTTTCACATATTTTCATATAATCATTGCAAATTCTAAAAAAAAAAACACTTTAAATGATGTTTTAAATACTCCTGAGAGTTGTTACTTGTACAGCCTCGTACTTCAGCTGAACAAGTCATGTATATATAGAATGAATAGATCACCAGAAGCTCCTTCTGTGTCAATGCTCCTGGTAAATGTTTCTACTTGTATTCCCCAGAGGGAATCCTAGGAGATAATTTGGAGAGCAAAGCAAAAGTTATAACATTTGTTTTTCTCTATTTCTTTGATGCACTAAGAATTCATTTACTTTCTCCACAGACTGGTCTTCCTTTGCCAGCAAAGAAACTGCAAGTTATATTACTTTATAAAAAGGAAACATTAACCACATTAAAATGTTTCATGTCTCTAAAAATTGTGGTATGTAATTACCTAAAACTGAGTTCTTTGAAGAAGGAAAGAAATAATACCAAATTTAGCTCTAATATGCCTGGCTATATGTCATATAAATTCTATTAAGTTAACTATATATCCCCAGTTTTAAAACTATTAAGTGATTCACTCTTCGAAATATTTCCCCTATATTTACAACATAATTTAGAGTAGAATCGCCTTGTAATAATAAAATTAAAAACCCATATACTCACCTCTTGGTAAACAGCAAATGCAGCAAGAATACAATAGTATGTATGAAAGCAGAGAACACATTTGCTTGTAATGTGGGTGGGACTGCCTCTTATAAGTAAGGTAATCATATTTGTTTATTTTCTTATCACTTTGTTATTGCTTCCATAATCACCGTGTAAGAAAGTGTAACAGCTTAAATCCTATATCTTTCAACCTCATTGGGTAAATATAGTCAAACTTTTAAAGAATGTGGCACAGAGTATCATACTAGGGAATTGCTGTAATCGTTGGAGTAGGGTCTTTGGCCATGTCAGTTCCCATAGTTATTTACTTAAAGTGAAATCATCTTTACACAGCAATTGCTATTTTCCAGAGATGGGCCACGTTAAATTGTCCACTCTAGGTGATTTAGGGACCATAATGAAGATTGGCATCATGAAAGGCAACAGGAAATGCACCCCTTTGAAGAGAATGTGGCTCCTGTGCAACAGTGAAAATGCAATAAGTACTGAATGCCAAGAGCAGGTGGCTGAGGATGGAGCAAAGTTCAAAAATTCACGTCTATTCTCAATAGCGAGTGGAATGGCCTTTTTTATTTTTTCTGAATGAATCACCCAAGGCCTCACTTTTTTTAAAAAAAAAAAAGCCTGATAACTTATATTGCTCAAAAGAGAAAATGTAAGAATGTAAGTCATTAATTTAAATTCCTGATTTCTCCTTGCTTCATTATAATAAAGCAGATGAATGTGGTCACTACAATTGATGATCAGGAAGAATTTGAAAATAATGCATGTTGATGTCCTAATATTGTCTTTCTCACTAACTCTTATGATTGAGAATATATTTCTTTATTTCATTTAACTAATTTGGAAAAACGAAATCTAGTCTTTCTTTTACCTTGTGCTATGGTCAGAATGTTTGTTCCTACCAAAATTCATGTTAAAATCCTCACCCCTAAGGTGATAGTATTAGGAAGTGGGGCCTTTGGGAGGTGATTAGGTCATAGGAGTGGAGTCCTCATGCATAGGATTAGTGCCCATATAAAGGAAGCCTGAGAGAGTCCCCTCACCTCTTCCACCAAGTCAGGACACAGCAAAGAGCCTTCTATGAACAGAAAGCAGGCCATTCCTAGACAATGAATCTGTCAGAACTTTGATATTGGACTTCCCAGACTCAAGAACTGTGAGAAATAAATCTCTGTTGTTTATAAGATATCTAGTTTATGGTATTTTGTTATAGGAGGCTAAGCAAATTAAGATACCCTGTATTACTTGTATCGATCTCATTAAGTATAAATCTATTTTAATTTATTATGTATCTTTTCAGTGTTATGTCTTTTTTTTATACCTAAGAGAATTGAATATATTGAAAGTTAATTTTTTAGGATATATTTTACTTTATGTTTTACCTGCAGATAAAATTTTGGTCAATGAATGTAGGAATAAAGCAAAACACATGCAGGATGGAGGAAGGAAGAAATTTTGGGCATATTTAGGATGTAGAATGGACAATAATTGGTGACGTCTATGGGGCCAAAGCCAAGGACCCACAAGAAATGAAAAACAGAAAGTGCAGAAGACTGAGGGAAGGGCAATATGGACTTTGGTTTCGGAAATGTTGATTTTGAAATGTCTATAAGCAAACAGTTGTAGATCTGGAATGGATTCCATAGCTAAAAAAATTATAGGTCTAAATCTCAGAAGAGACATCTAACTGCACTGAAGGTAAATAATCATTAGATACAGATGGTCATTGATGTCATGGAGTAAAGATTCTAGAGACTCTTTTTTACACATTTATCCATTTCATCAACAAATAATCTTGAGTGCCTATGATGTGCCACACACATAATGGTGAAAAGAGAATAAAACTCCTGTTACTGAAAACACAAAGATGTTGAATCTGTGCATTCATCTAATGTAGAATCTACATTTTTGGCTATTGTCAGATCCTTTTAGGTCCTAAATTGATACTTTTTAGACTTTTTTGAAAAATGTTATAATATTTCTGGTAAGTTTTTTGATTTTTTTTTTTTTTTTGCTTAGGTAGACTTTGTGCTAGCCTAGAAACTTGATTATTACATATTTCTTTGCCCATAATAACCCAGTTTTTACTGTGACTTAAATTACTTTATTTCTCCTAGTGCTAAAGTTACCAATGACACAACCTGGGTAGTCACAGACAAGAAAAACTCCTCTACCTATCATGCTCACAGATAGAGACAAAAATATGATCTTGGACAAACAATAATATTTTATTCCACCTCTGTTAGTTTCTTTTATTTTCTTTTAGCATCTAGAATTTGAGATCTGTAGGTTCTCATATTTATTTATTATAAATTCTTCTCATAAGGAACTTGCTTATAGGAAGTTGCTATTTCAGGCTATATAATCTCAATAAGGCAAGGACATTTATGGTTTCATCAATTCTCACTAATCTGCAGTCCTTCAGCCTTACAATCTGATTCTTGTGAAAAGCTGTCATCAGAAGGCAGTATCTATAGTGTACATTTTCCCTGTAAATTAATTGTGACACATTGAGTGGCGGTTCCTCATGCCTGGAGGCGTGGCTATTTTTTCATCTAATTTCATTTATGTTTTTTTTTGTGCCAAACTGCCTTTTGTTAGAAAAAATATATATATTCAACTTGATTAATTTGGGGGAGGATAAACATGCATTATTTTGTGTATGAGTTATCTTCATATTTTGGAGTGTGCAGAAGTGATTGGCTATTTTTGATGACCACTAATACAGTAAAATTTGGTATCTCATTATTTAAACTTATTGATCAGAAGGAAAGAAAAAGCACTGTGAGAACTGACTGTAATGAAAAGTCTATAAGGTACTACCTTAGCTTAAAACATCTAAATAGATTTCTCACAACAATTAAGGGTAAATATGTCCCTTGGTACATGCACACAATGAACAGCTTGGATTGTTGTATTTAATTTCTTACACAGTATGATAAAAGCAAACTAGTGGAATTTAAACTTTAGTTTAAAGCAAAGTTCATGTCTCTATGATAAAATTCAGTGAATCAAAAGCCAGTTTTTTCAGCCGACCTAATATCTCATTTATTTTATGACACAATAGATTTGATTGGCTCTGCCATTTGAGATATACAGGGCTAGAAATAAACTAAAGTATGTGTAATTCAGCAGCTGCAAGCATGTGATATCTAACTATCTCTTCATCATTGCATTTTAGGTTTTGTACATGGTAACTAGATCTTACTATAGCAAGCAAACACCACTATTACCTAAGAGCATCATATAAGATAGAATACTATAGGTAGTTTATTCCACTGTGGGTAGAAGCATTTGATGCTTCTGTTAACTTTATAAATGTCCCTTAAAACACAATATTGACCCATGAAAATAATAGTAATTTTAGTCCTCCTCAGTGCCTTGTACCAAATACTTATTTAATATGCCTTTTCAAATGAGTTGTCTGTAACAGCAAACAAATCTATGTGACTAAGCATAAATTAATCTCTCCATCAAGTTTTACTGTTAGCATCCTTATTTTCTCACTCTTTAGGCAACTATTTTTAAAATAAATTATCTGAATATAAAAGATCTGAAGTGTAAGTTTTACAAAGCTTAAGATACAACATTTCAAAACTATTAATTCCTATTGTTTCCTTATTTTAGAAGTACTTGTAGGGTATTTTATACTTTATACTTTGTATAAGTGCTTTATACTTTATACATTGTATACAGTGCTTTATACTTTATACTTTGTATACAGTGCTTTATACTTTGTAAAAGTGAAATACAGCTTTATTTCTTGCTTTTCTGATGTTACTGTTCCCTTACATTTAAAAATCATTTTAGGGTGATAGCATCATTCGCATTTCTACAGCGTTTGAAACACGAACATTTTAATGCGCAAAATATTTTGAATTTATGATGTATATTGCACAGGAGATAAATAAATAGAACATTATTTTCTCGAAATTGGTCCTATCTAAATTTGATATGCATAACTCAAATGATCAATTATAATATGTGGGGATTCTTTAAAACATTGCAGGGAAAATATTGGAGATCAGCCAACTCAAAACAATGTTTTAGATCTCTAGAGTAGAAATGCATTTCTTCCCTTCATTTGTAAGTTTTCTAGATATCATCAAAAAGTGCTCATTTAGCTTTTTTGTTAAAGTTGTCTTTTACTACATCATACATATTTAAAAAGACATTGCATACAAGTAAATCTACTTAGTGTCTATATGCTCCAGGCACTATTCTGGGCACTGCAGGTCTTCATTAGCTCACTAAGGGGTCATTCATTTTAAAACCAAGAAAAAAAATCAGTAAAAAGTAAATATTTTGCTGTTTGGCTCCCAGATTTCCAAAACTGCTGGAAAATATATTTCTTAAAATGGCCTGTGTTGGGCCACTACAAATTCATACTTCTAACTGTATCAGGGCTCTTGGCACCTCTGGGCAGTATTTTTTTTAATTAAATCTCTTATTATTTCTTAACACATTATCCGAAGAAGCTGATTTATTTATTTATTTTATTCATTTGAAACTCTTAGTCCCATGCTACGTCACTCACAATTTGCCAGGTATTATCTCAATTACTGTTTATTTAGGAGATTAAGATAATTAAACCAGTTTTTTTCACCTTCTCGTCTATACTTTTCAGAATATTTCTGAATCTTTCCTTTCACTGTCTTTATTTTGGTTACTGTCTTTGAGAAAGAAGTATATCTCTCCTTTCAATTCCCCCTGTTTGCATCTTTAAGTTATTTCTCTATTTGGTCTTCCTATATCTCTCCACATGATCAGGTCTTTATTATTTTAAAAGACAAATAATTCTAAACATCCTAAACCCTACTTTTGCTTCAGACATTTGCTGAAACTCTTCACTTCCTTTTCCCTCCAAACAATTTAAAAGATAATTTTATAACTGCTGTCATAACACATCAGCTCTTTAACTTCTTGCAACTAAGAATTATCTTTTCCAATTTTATAACCTTAAAGAAAACCAATGATGACCAAACTCAGGTGACATTTCTCAGTCCATAGCTTTTTGAAAATCCCTGATTCATTAGATTTTTTTTACTATCCCCGTTTTACAAATGCTCTCTTCTCTCTGATAACTTGTAATATGCCACTGTTAGCTTTTAAAAGATTTGTTGTGAAATACAGATAACATAAAACTTACCATTGTAGTAGTTTTTAAGTATACAGTTCAATGGCATTAAGTACATCACATTGTTTTGCAGCCATCACCATCATCCATCTCCAGAGCTGTTTTCATGTTACAAAAGTGAAACTCTTTACCCATGAAACAGTGATGCCCCATTCCTCCTGGTACCCAAGCCACTGGCAAGCACCATTTTACTTTACGTTTGTATTAATTTGGCTATTCTTGTTACCGTGTATAAGTGGACCCATGTACTATTTGTCTTTTTTTGGGTTATTTAACTTAGCATAATATTCTCAAGGTACACCCACATTGTAGCATCTGTCAAAAATACCTTCTGTTTTAAAGTGTATACCACATTTCATTTATCCACTTATCTGTCACTGGATATTTGGGTGGCTTTTACCTTTTGTCTACTCTGAAAATTTCTGCTATGAACAAGGGAGTACACTTGAATCTTAGAGACCCTGCTTCTGTGTGTTCATATCTAGACATAGAATTTCTGGATCATATGGTAATTCTACATTAAATTATGTGAGAAATCGCTACACTGTTTTCTATTGAGGCTGTACCATTTTATATTTCTACCAACAGTTTACAGGATTTCACTTTCTTCACATCCTCATCAACATTTGTTATTTTATGTTTTGATAGTAGCCATTCTAATGGGTGTGAAGTGATATCTCAATATAGTTTTGTTTTTCCCTAATTATTAGTTATGCTGAGTATCTTTTCGTGTGCATACTGGTCATATGTTCATCTTCCTTGGAAAATGGCTATTCAAGTCCTTTGCCCATTTTTTAAAGGAGTTATTTATTTACTTATTTATTATTTTTGATGTTGAGTTGTATGAGTTCTTTAGATGTTTTGGATATTAACCATATACCAGATGTAGGGTTTGAAAATATTTTTTCCACCCTGTAGGTTGCATTTTCATTCTGATGATTGTGTTTTTTGACTCATGAAAGTTTTAAATTTTGTGTAGTCAAATGTATCTATTTTTTCTTTTATTTCTATATTTTTGTCGTTATTTCTAAGAACTCATTGCCAAACCCAATGTCATGAAGTTTTTTCTCTCTGTTTTCTTCTAATAATTTTATAGTTTTAGGTCCTACATTTATGTTATTGCATTTTGAGTTTTTCTGTATGTGTTGTAAGGAAAGGGTCCACCTTCATTCATTTGCATGTGAGTATCAAGGTTTCCAATATCATTGGTTGAAAAGACTGTTCTTTTCTGATTAAATGGTTTTGGCATTCTTGATAAAAATCATTTGAGCCTTTGTTTTTAGGTTCCCTATCATGTGAACCTTTAATTTTAGGTTCTCTAATCTATTTTTTTTTGTCTATTTATCTGTCTTTATTCTAGTACCATACCATTTTGATTATTGTAGATTTGTAGTAAGTTTACAAGTAACTTAAATGTGAGACTTTTTACTTTATTCTTCTTTTCAAGATTGTTTTCACTATTGCAGTTCTCTTGAAATTCCATATGTTTTTTGGATGGATTTTTCCATTTCTCTAAAAAACACCTTTTAGATTTTGATAGATATTACACTAAATATGTAGATCTCTTTGGAAAGTGTTGAACCATGCACAATATTAAGTATTCTAATCCATGAACATAGAATAGCTTTCTACTTATTTGTGTCTTCTTTCATCTGTTTCAGCAAAATTTTGGAGTTTTCAGTGAATACCTTTCCCCTCTTTGGTTAGGTTTATACATACATATATTCTTGTTTTGATACTATTGTAAACAGAAATGTTTTCCTAATTTTATTTTCATATTGTTCATTGTTAGTGTTTAGAAACCTAACTGATTTTTAGGTTCTGATTTTGTATCCTGCAACTCTGCTGATCTTACTTATTAGTTCTAACAGGTTTTTTTTTTGAATAATCTTTAGGATTTTATACATCTAATATCATGCCATCTAAAAACAGAGATAAACTTACTTCTTCTTTTCCAATTTAGATGACTTTCACTCTTTTTTCTTGCCTCATTGCTCTGGCTAGTACTTCCAGTAGTATATTGAATACAAGTGGTGGAAGCAGTTATCCTTATCTTATTCTTGATCTCAGAGGGAAATCTTACAGACAGTCACCATTGAATATGATATTAGCTGCAGGCTTTTCATATATGATATAATGTTAAAATAGTTTCCTTGTATTTGTACTTGGTTTAATGTGTTTTTTTTTAAATCATAAAAGAGCATTGAAATTCATCAAATGTTTTTCTTCATCCATTGATATGATGAGGTATGTTTTTCCCTTCATTCTGTTAGGTGGTATAGTACAGTCATTGATTTTTGTATGTTAAACTGTCTTTGCATTTTCTTCTCAGAATAATTACTACTCAGTCTCGGTGTGTAACCTTTTTAATATATTGTTGAATTCTGTTTTAAAGTATTTTGTTGTGGATTTTCATTAGAGATATTGGTGTGTAGTTTTCTTATAGTGTCTTAGTCTAGCTTTGGAATCATGGTAATGCTTTCCTCATATAATAGTCATGTGCTACTTAACAATGGCAATATGTTCTGAGAAATGCCTTGTTAGGGGATTTTGTCACTGTGCAAACATCATAGAGTGTACTTACATGAACTTACACTCTATAGCCTATTACATACTTAGGCTATATGGCATAGCCTATTGTTCCTAGGCTACAAATCTGTACAGCATGTTACTGTACTGAATACTGTAGGCAATGGTAACACAAAGGTAAGTATTTGTGTATCTAAACATAGAAAAGGTAGAGTAAAAATAGTACAAAAAATAGAAAATGCTACATTTGTATAGGGCACTAAACATGAGTAGAGTTTGCAGGACTGGAAGTTGCTCTGGGTGAGTCAATGAATAAATGGTGAGTGAATGTGAAGTCCTAGGCCATTACTTTACACTACTGTGTACTTTATAAACATGTACCAGGCTAACACTAAATTTATGAAAGAATATTTTTATTTCTTCAGTAATAAATGAACCTTAGCTTTCTATGACTCTTTTACCTCGTAAACTTTTATTTTTTTCTAACTTTTGACTCTGTTGTAATAGCACTTAGCTTAAGACAAAAACACATTTTATAGCTCAAATCGTTTTCTCTTTGCTGGGCACAGTGGTGGGCACCTGTAATTCCAGCTACTTGAGAGGCTGAGACGGGGATTCCTTGACTCCAGGCTGTAGTGCACTAAAAAGACTGCAAGATTGCACCTGTGAATAGACACTCCACTCCAGCCTGGGAAACATAAGAAGACCCTTTCTTAAAAAAAAAAAAAAAAAAAAAAAAAAAAAAAAAAAAATTTCTTTCTTTATATTCTTATGTTATGAGCTTTTTCTATTTTTTTCTATATTTTAAACTTTTTAAATCTTTCTGTTAATAACTAATGCACAAACATTAGCATAGGCTTGCATAGGGTCAAAATAATCAATATCACTCTTTTCACCTCCACATCTTGTCCTTGTCCTACTGGGAGGTTTTCAGGGACAGTAACATGCACAGAGCTGTCTTCTCCTATGATAACAATGTCTTCTTTTGAAATACCTCCTGAAAGATCTGCTTGAGGCTGTTTTGTAGTTAACTTTTCTTTTTTCAATAAGTAGAAGGAATATACTCTAAAATAACAATTAAAGGTATAGTATAGAAAATATATAAACCAATAACATCGTTATTTATTATCATTATCAAGTATTATGTACTGTACATAATTGTATGTGTTATACTTTTATACCACTGGCAGTGCAGTAGGTTTTTGTTGTTGTTGTTGTTGTATTGTTTTTTTAAAAAGTAAAGACAGGGTCACACCATGTTGCCCTGGCTGGTCTGGAACTCCTGGACTCAAGCAATCATCCTTTCTCAGCCTTCCAAAGTGCTGGGATTACAGGTGTGAACCACCACACCTGGCCAGTACGTTTGTTTATACCAGGATTGCCACAAACACATGAGTAATGCATTGTGCTATGATGTTACAATGGCTATATCATTAGGTTTTAGCTCTTATTATTTTGAGATATGTTCAATCAATACCTAGTTTATTAAGAGTTTTTAGCATGAAAGGATGTTGAATTTTATCAAAGACCTTTCTGCATCTATTGAGATAATCATGTGGTTTTTGTCATTGGTTCTGTTTATGTGATGGATTACATTTATTGATTTGCATATGTTGAACCAGCCTTGCATCCCAGGGATGAAGCTGACTTGATCATGGTGGATAAGCTTTTTGATGTGTTGCTGGATTTGGTTTTCCAGTATTTTATTGAGGATTTTCGCATGGACGTTCATCAGGGTTACTGGCCTGACACTTTCTTTTTTTGTTGTGCCTCTGCCAGGTTTTGGTATCAGGATAATGCTGGTCTCATAAAATGAGTTAGGGAGGAGTCCCTCTTTTACTATTGTTTGGAATAATTTCAGAAGGAATGGTAGTGGTTCCTTTTTGTACCTCTGGGAGAATTCGGCTATGAATCCATCTGGTCCTGGGATTTTTGTTTTGGTTCATAGGCTATTAATTACTGCCTCAATTTCAGAGCTCGTTGTTGGTCTATTCAGGGATTCAACTTCTTCCTGGTTTAGTCTTGGGAGGGTGTATGTGGTCCAGTAATTTATCCATTTCTTCTAGATTTTCTAGTTTATTTGCATAGACATGTTTATAGTATTCTCTGATGGTAGTTTGTATTTCTGTGGGATCAGTGGTGCTATTCTCTTTATCATTTTTTATTATGTCTACCTGATTCTTCTCTCTTTTCTTCCTTACTAGTCTAGCTAGCAGTCTATCTGTTTTTAAAAAAAAACTTTTCATAAAACCGGTTCCTGGATTCACTGATTTTTTTGAAGGGTTTTTTATGTCTCTATCTCCTTCAGTTCTGGTCTGATCTTAGTTATTTCTTGTCTTCTACTAGCTTTTGAATTTGTTTGCTCTGGTTCTCTAGTTCTTTTAATTCTGATGTTCAGGTGTTGATTTCAGATCTTTCCAGCTCTCTGTTGTGGGCATTTAGTGCTATAAATTTCCCTTTTAACACTGCTTTAGCTGTGTCCCGGAGATTCTGGTATGTTGTCTCTTTGTTCTCATTGGTTTCAAAGAACTTATTTATTTCTGCCTTAATTTTGTTATTTACCCAATAATCATTCAGGAGCAGGTTGTTCAATTTCCATGTAGTGATGTGGTTTTGAGTGAGTTTCTTAATCCTGATTTCTAATTTGATTGCACTGTGGTCTGAGAGACTGTTTATTATGATTTCCACTCTTTTGCATTTGCTGGGGAGTTTTTTACTTCCAATTGTGTGGTCAGTTTTAGAATAAGTGCTATGTAGGTGCTGAGAAGAATGTATATTCTGTTGATTTAGGATGGGGAGTTCTGTAGATGTCTATTAGGTCTGCTTGGTCCAGAGCCGAGTTCAAGTCCTGAATACTTTGTTAATTTTGTGTCTTGTTGATTTGTCTGATATTGACAGTGGGGTGTTAAAGTCTCCCACTATTATTGTATCGGAGTCTAAGTCTCTTTCTAAGTCTCTAAGAACTTGCTTTATGAATCTGGTTCTCCTGTATTGGGTGCATTTATATTTAGGGTAGTTAACTCTTCTTGTTGCATTGATCCCTTTACCATTATGTAATGCCCTTCTTTGTCTTTTCTTGACCTTTGTTGGTTTAAAGTCTGTTTTATCAGAGTCTAGAATTGCAACCCCTGCTTTTTTTCTTTTTTTTTTCTTTCTTTCCATTTGCTTGGTAAATCTTCTTCCATCTGTTTATTTTGAGCCTCTGGGTATCTTTGCATGTGAGATGGGTCTCTTGAATACAGCACACCAATGGGTCTTGACTCTTAATCCAATTTGCCAGTCTGTGTCTTTTAATTGGGGCATTTAACCCATTTACATTTAAGGTTAATGCTGTTATGTGTGAATTTGATCCTGTCATTATGATCCTGGCAGGTTATTTTGCACAATAGTTGATGCAGTTTCTCCATAGTGTCATTGGTCTTTCTATTTTGGTGTGTTTTTGCAGTGGCTGGTACTGGTTTTTCCTTTCAATATTTAGTGCTTCCTTCAGGAGCTCTTGTAAGGCAGGCCTGGTGGTGACAAAATGCCTCAGCATTTGCCTGTCTGTAAAGGATTTCATTTCTCTTTCACTTTTGAAGCTTAGTTTGGCTGGATATGAAATTCTGCATTAAAAATTCTTTTCTTTAAGAATGTTGAATATTGGCCCCCAGCCTCTTCTAGCTTGTAAGGTTTCTGCAGAGATCCACTGTTAGTCTGACGGACTTCCCTTTGTAGGTAACCTACCTTTCTCTCTGGTTGCTCTTAACATTTTTTCCTTCATTTCAGCCTTGGAGAATCTGATGATTATGTGTCTTGGGGTTGCTTTTCTCAAGAATTATCTTACTGGTGTTCTCTGTAGTTCCTGAATTTGAATGTTGGCCTGTCTTGCTAGGTTGGTGAAGTTCTCCTGGATAATATCCTGAAGTGTGTTTCCCAACTTGGTTCCATTTTCCCCATCACTTTCAGGTAAACCAATTAATCATAGGTTTGGTCTTTTCACATAGTCCTGTATTTCTTAGAGGCTTTGTTTGTTCCTTTTCATTCTTTTTTCTCTAATCTTGTCTTCACACTTTATTTCAGTAAGTTGATCTTTAATCTCAGATATCCGTTCTTCCACTTTATCGCTTGGCTATTGATACTTGTGTATGGTTCACAAAGTTCTCGTGCTGTGTTTTTCAGCTCCATAACGTCATTTATGTTTCTCTCTAAACTCGTTACTCTAGTTAGCAGTTCCTGTAACCTTTTATCAAGGCTCTTAGCTTCCTTGCATTGGGTTAAAACACACTCCTTTAACTCAGAGGAGTTTGCTGTTACCTACCTTCCGAAACCTACTTCTGTCAATTTGTCAGTCTCATTCTCCATCCAGTTTTGTGCCCTTGCTGAAGAGGAGTTGCGATCATTTGGAGGAGAAGAAGCATTCTGGTATTTGGAATTTTCAGCGTTTCTGTGCTGGTTTTTCCTCACCTTCATGGATTTATCTACCTTTGATCTTTCAGGCTGATGAACTTTGGATGGGGCTTTTGCGTGGGGGTCCTTTATGTTGATTTTGATGTTGTTGCTTTCCGTTTGTTAGTTTTTCTTCTAACAAGCAGGCCTGTCTGCTGCAGGTCTGCTGTAGTTTGCTGGAGGTCCACTCCAGACCCTGTTCGCCTGGGTATCACCAGTGGAGGCTGTAGAACAGCAAAGATTGTTGCCTGCTCCTTCCTCTGGAAGCTTCGTCCCAGAGGGCACCAGCCTGATGCCAGCTGGAGATCTCCTGTATGAGATGTCTGTCAACCCCTATTGGGAGGTCTCTCCCAGTCAGGAGGCACTGGGGTCAGGGACCTACTTGAGGAGGCCATCTGTCCCTTACCAGAGCTGGTGTGCTGTGCTGGGAGAATCCCTTTTTTTCAGGATCAGCTGCTCTCTTCAGAGCCAGCAGGCAGGAATGATGATATCTGCTGAAGCTGCACCCACAGCCTCCCCTTCCCTCAGGTGCTCTGTCCCAGGGAAATGGGGGTTTTGTCTATAAGTTCCTGACTGGGGCTGTTGCCTTTCCTTCAGAGATGCCCTGCCCAGTGATGAGGAATCTAGAGAAGCAGTCTGGCCACAGCCGTTTTGCTGCACTGTGGTGAATTTGCCCAGTCCACACCTCCCAGCCTCCTTAGCACTGTCAGGGGAAAATTGCCTTATAAAGCCTCAGTAATGGCGGATGCCCCTCTTCCCACCAAGCTCGATCATCTCAGGTCAACTTCAGACTGCTGTGCTGGCAGTGAGAATTTCAAGCCAGTGATTTTTAGCTTGCTGGGCTTCGTGGGAGTGGGATCTGCTGAGTGAGACCACTTAGCTCCCTGGCTTCAGCTCCCTTTCCAGGGGAGTGAATGGTTCTGTCTTGCTGGGGTTCCAGGTGCCACTGGGGTAGGAAAAAGACTCTTGCAGCTAGGTCGGTGCCTGCCCAAACAGCCACCCAATTTTTGGCTTGAAACCCAGGGCCCTGGTGGTATAGGCACAGGAGGGAATTTCCCAATCTGCAGATTGCAAAAACTATGGGAAAAGTGTAGTAACATGGCCATGTAGCACAGTCCCTCATGGCTTCCCTTGGCTAGGGGAGGAAGGTCCCCCAGCTTCATGAACTTCCCAGGTGAAGCGATGCCCCACCCTGCTTCTGCTCACCCTCCGTGGGTTGGACCTACTGCCTAACCAGTTCCAATGAGATGAACTGGGTACCTCAGTTGGAAATGACAAAATCACCTTCCTTCTGTGTTGGTCTCGCTGGGAGCTGTACACAGGAGCTGTGCCTATTCGGCCACCTTGGCCCCTCTCCTGTTTCTAGTTCTTGAAGGTGTAAATTTTGGTTGTGAATTTTAGATCTTTAATCCAATCATTTACAAAAAATTGTTTCTTAGCACTGGTTTTCTTTATCTCATAATTTTTTTGCATTTTTTGCATGTTGTGTTTTAATTTTCATTTTCTCAAGATATTTTCTAATGTGATTTTTCTTTCTAATATTTTATAATGTGATTTTTTTGACCCAGTAGTTGCTTAAAAGTGTTGTTTAATTTCCACATATTTCAGAATTATCAAGTTTTTTCTGCTTTAATATATAGTTTCATTCCATTGTGATTGCAAAAGATATTTGTATGATTTCATTCTTATTAATTACTATTAGTTTTATGGCCATATATATTATCTATCCTGCAGATATTTCCATGTGTACTTTGGAAAAATGTGTACTCTTTTGATCTCGCGTGATATGTCATGTATATGTTTGTTAGATCCAATTGGTCTATAGTGTTGTTGAAGAGCCATTATGTTCTTTTTTCTTTTTTTTTTTTTTTTTTTTTGAGACACAGTCTCGCCTTGTTGCCCAGGCTGGAATGCAGTGGTGCGATCTTGGCTCACTGAAATCTCCACCTCCCGGGTTCAAGCGATTCTCCTGCCCCAGCCTCCCAAGTAGCTGGGATTACAGGCGTGTGCCACTATGCCCAGCTAATTTTTGTATTTTTAGTAGAGACTGGTTTCACTATGTTGGTCAGGCTGGTCTCGAACTCTTGACCTCGTGATCCGCCCGCCTCAGCCTCCCAAAGTGCTGGGATTACAGGCGTGAGCCACTGCACCTAGCCAAAGATCTATATTTTCTTACTGATCATCTTTCTGGTTCTAGCCACTATTGACAATGGAACATTGAAGTCTACTATTTTTGTAGTACTGTCTCCTTTCAATTCTGTTAATGTTGGCTTCATATATTTAGAAGCTCTGATATGTAGTGCATGTATGCTAATAATTATATATTTTTGGTGAATAGACATTTATCAATACATATTGTCCTTTTTTGTCTCTTGTAACATTTTTTGGTGTAAAATCTATTGCTTACTATTAGCATAGCTATGATTGCTTTCTTTTGGCCACTATTTGCATGGACTATCTGTTTTCACCTTTTATCCTTCAACCTATTTGTGTTCTTACTTCTAACATGAGTCTATTGTAGACAGTACATATTTAGTTCCCGGTTATTCATTCACTATGCCAGTGTAATGTCTTATAATGTCTTATAATTAAGGTGTTTAATCCATTTAAATTTTAAGCAATTGCTCATAGTCAGGACTTACTATTACCACCATATTATATTTTTTAAAAACTCTCTTTCTTCTCATATGCACCACGAATTGCGTCTGACCTTTTAGAGTATAGGTGACTTTTCTAATGAGATTCAGAAAATAATTTCCACTTGTCCATTTGGCATTTCTACCTGTATGTTCATTACTCTTGAAGTGATTTAAGTAGGAAAAGAGGATGCTACCTTTTAAATTTGTTTCCATTATTTAACTAGAAGAGTTTGTTCATTAAAACATTATACTCCTCAGACATGTCACTTAACTCAGGTATTATGGTACTCTCTTTTGCAAATGTGAGTCCTCGAAAATTCATTAGTGTACTTTTAATTCAACAGATATGTATTGACTTTTACCCATTACATTCTTGGTATTGTTCAAGGTACTGAGTATATCACAGTGAACAAGACAGAGGAAAGCTTCTGCTCTCATGGAGATAGACAATAAGCATAATAAATCAGTAAGTGATATAGTGTATTAGAAGATGTTTATGTGCTGTGCATAAACTAGAGAAGTGTAGGTGGGAATAGCAGTGCCACTTGGGGGTGGGTGATTTGATGGCTTTTGGGTAATAAGGGTTTAGGTACTTTTGGGTAATAAGGATTTAGGTACTTTTGGGTATATAAGGAAGACAGATTTGGATCATAGTGCCAACAGAGGAGCTATGAATGAAATTAGCATAATTATATTGTGATATACAGATGATATTTGAATTTTTTTTATAATGTAAGAAATATATTATATGTCTATTTTATTTATTTATTGAGTATGATTCCTAGCAACAGATAACTAGCTAAATAAACTGCCTTTCTCTTAAGCTCAATGCTAATTGAAAAAGAAATTAAAGCCAGAATCCATGTAGGACAGTGAGGAATTCATGGCTATCAATATCAGGATCTCCTTTCAGAGAGCATCACAAAAGTGTGCTGATAGACATGATGAAGGAAAATAAGGAAAATAAAAGATTCTTAGGGGAGGGAATATGCTATTTTTTGTGATAAGCAACTCCTGTTACTTCTCTTTGATAGGTACAGGATTATAAACTAACCCTCAATTTTACCCTGTTTTGAAGAATATGTTTTAAAGTGAGCTTAAATAATACAATATAAAAATTGACTTCTTCAAGTGGCGAGAGCACTCAGAGACGCGACGTGGAGCTGGCGGGTACCGAGCGGGTGCCTCAGTCTCCTTCCCCTCCCCTCGCCTAGCCTTGCCGTCTTCTCCCCGCAGATGGACCGGAACTATGTGATCCCGGAAGTTCTAGGGCCTTTGCTGTGTGTGGGATAAACGGTCATGGCGGAGGCTCCAGCTCCCGTGACAACAGCCACAACATCAGGAGCAGGAGACGCAGCGGCAGCAGCCACAGCGGCCTCCCGCACCCCGATCCCCACAGTCACTGCCCCATCCCCAGTGTCTTATTTGTACAATGTATTTTAAATGAGGTAGCAATGCATTATAAGTATTTAATAACTAGCTTATCAATTGTTACATTATATTTGTCTAAAGTTTGAAAACCACTAATTTTAAGCATGTATCATTGATAGATCATCAAAAACTATATTATTAATAGAACATTTATTTTCAGCTAAATTGAAGAGACGTAGCAGGGTAATAAGGCCCAGCACTTAGATTTGATTATACAATTAAAAATATTTTACACCATAAATGAGTATTCATTAACTAGATTGAATCATCTGACTCAAGTTGGTATGTCAATCAAATGAATTTTCAAATGTTTTAAAATAATCATATATTCATACGTTGATACTAGGAGATAAAAATATGTTTTAGAGACTGCTAAAAGGAAGGCAAACTTTTGCCCTTACTCTTAGGGTTTTTCTGCTGGATATGGGAATTAAACTGACACGAGACAGGTCAATAGAAGAAATGTATACATATTTATTCAATACAAGTTTTACATGGCATGGGAGTCTTCATAAATAAGGAAATGAAGAACCAAAGTCGCAGTTGGAGTTGAAAACTTACATGCTGTATTGGACAAAATGTAGTAAATTGTGAAAATGTAGCAAGGCAAAGGGGTTTGGGCTACAGGAGTTAATTGGGTAGAGTTGTGACTAAGAAGATAAGGTTGGTTTAACAAAGTTTGTACAAATTTCCCTCAGTCTCAATTTTCTGTCCTCGAAGACAAGTTTTCTTGCCTTCCAGTACAAAAAGGATATCTTTCGCATGGGAATTTCGTCTCCTGCTGTTAAGAAACAGAATGAAGGTCAGAGTGAACTTCTTGCACCTGCTGTTTTTCAAATGCCTTTAGCTCAAAATAATTCTTATGCCAAAGAGCATATTCTGGAATGATGTGTTTTAAAATCCTTCACTGCATTAGATTTCAGAGTAAGAAAGGAGCAGAATATAACTCTTAAAAGGATGCTTCTGAATCTTAAAATCTCTGAGAAATTAGGAAGTAGGCTTTTCTTGAATGACGCTGAGGTATTAACCACTTCGATTTTTTTAACAGCTCATTAATAATCAAGTAATTATATCAGAAAGATAATTAGATTTGATCCTTAGAAATGTGCCTACATATTTTAGTGTAAAACTAAAGAGTAATGCTTTACTGAATTAACTAATTTTTAAACAGAAGACAGTGTTCAAACAAGTGAACTGTATTCATTTACTTTCATTCATCTAAATGAAATTGTATCCTATTTTTCTAAGACTTCACGGCACTCATCCTTTTCTAATAACCAATTTTGCACCGCAATTCCTGTGGCAATTAAAAAAACAATAATTTACTTGCTTGTAGATGTTGCACTACAAAATGAGACATTTTAAAGACCAAGGATGCATGTTCCTATGAGATTGTTTTGAAGTTTTTATATATAATTATATTTAATGAAGTGACTGGTTATAATTTCCATGGTTTCATATAGTCTTTATGTTGTTTTTATTGCATTTTCAAAACCTCACTTTTATATTTGTCATTTTTTTCTTCAGAAATGAATCATGGAACTTTATATTTTCCTGGCCATTTCTCTTTTTATAATATGAATTTTAAAAATCAATAATGCAACCCTTTAAAAAACATTTACCAAATTTTAAATTTCTGAAGATTATTTTCAATTGAATTATGTGTAACTCACATTTTATCTTTTCCACCACAGAATACTGCTTCAAGTTGCCTCAGTACAAGTTTGTTATCTTAACATTTCTCTTTTATCCAAAGACGATTTATCCATTGTCTCCCAGAGAGTGCTCTTTGTCTCCAGATATTTGCACTTAGCATAGTAATAGTCAGGAAGACCTTTATCAATACTTTAGAATATCAATGAAAAGTCTTTTTTTTCCTCCTAACAAATGAATATTAGATGTGGAAGCTTCACAATATGCTACATTTCTGGTATGATAATTGATTATATTTGTTTGAAGAATGATTCTTCTGCAACGTGAGCTTTTTGTTGGTTCAGTTGAAAATAATGGAAAGATCCTCTGGATCTGAGATGTGTTCAAGTGTAATAAGCAACATTTAACAAATGTTACACTGTTGCCATTTAACAAATGTCTTTGGAATTCAATTGAGCCAGGTTTTAAAGTGATAATCCATATCACCATGTGTGAAATGTAATTCAGATCTTGTTTATCCATATTTAAATTGTGTATAAAATTTATGAAAATGTCCAAAGGCTTATCAAATTGAATCATTAATTACTATCTTGAAATTATTGGTGTCAAATCAATGATTTTTGTTGATATTATATGAATATACGGATAAGCAAACTTAGATGTGATTTCTTCATAATACATTGGCATGGCAAAATTTTTAAAATGTGCAGTTAATGAAAATTTATCCTAAATATTTGGGATTATTAAATATAAAATTAAACATGCAGATTTTAAGGGTTTACCTCACTTACTTTTTAATCATTCCATTCATATATATATATATATATATATATATATATATACACATATATATATATATATATACACATATATATATATATATATATATTTTTTTTTTTTTTTTGAGATGGAGTCTTGCTCAGTTGCCCAGGCTGGATTGCAGTGGCACGATCTCAGCTCACTGCAAGCTCTGCCTCCTGGGTTCATGCCATTCTCCTGCCTCAGCCTCCTGAGTAGCTAGGACTACAGGTACCCACCACCAAGCCTGGCTAATTTTTTTTTGTAGTTTTAGTAGAGACGGGGTTTCACCGTGTTAGCCAGGATGGTCTTGATCTCCTGACCTCATGATCCACCCTCCTCGGCCTCCCAAAGTGCTGGGATTACAGGTGTGAGCCACCGAACCTGGCCCATTCATTTATATTTTTAAGAATTAGTTTATGTTTATATGTATTTTCAATTATTACCTGAAAAATATTTGCTAGTAGTATCTAGTTAAAGATTATTGCATATTTAAAGTGTTTACCTGTTTACATGACTTTTAATATTTTTTTTTGTTGTTTCTTTGTTTGTTTTTGAGATGGAGTCTTGCTCTGTCGCCCAGGCTGGAGTGCAGTGGCTCAATCTCGGCTCACTGCAATCTCCGCCTCCTGGGTTCAAGCAGTTCCCTGCCACAGCCTCCCAAGTAGCTGGGATTACAGGCACCCGCCACCACACCCGGCTAATTTTTGTATTTTTAGTAGAGACAGGGTTTCACCATCTTGGCCAGGCTGGTCTTGAACTCCTGACCTTTTGATCCACCCTCCTCAGCCTCCCAAAGTGCTGGGATTATAGGCATGAGCCACCGTGCCCGGCCTTGTTTTGTTTGTTAAAGGCAATTTTTTAAATAACCTGAGAAGGAAATTAAGAAATATTGATGTGCTTAGACTTTTGAAAAGCACTGTGCATATGTGAATGCATGTGCATGTGTGTGTGTATTCTTCCTACCATCAAGATATCTTCTTTATGCCCTTCTTTCCCCTATTAGGTCTGAGCTCATATTTGTAAATGTATGTATCACAACATATTTTGCTGTTATTTGGATCAGAGAAAAATCTGTTTTATAAAATGTACCACAAACTGACATGTCAAACTTGTTTTAAAAAATCAATTGCGGGGTGAGCAACTGTCTTTAATTTGAATTTATCCCATCTTTTATGACCAGTTTCCAACTTAGAGTTTACCCTCTTAACATCGAGTTACTTGTGTTATTTTCTCAAAGTGATGTGATTATTTTGCTTTTGCTTCATTACTGCAACAAAATTTAAATACCTTCATAAATAAGCAATTTTAGAGGAGCATGAAAACTAACAAAATGTAACAAACACACTGAAGAGATTTGATGATTTGCATTTTCATGAAGCTATTGAACAAAAAAAATATCCAGCAGCACTAATATACAGCAAATTCATCTTTCAACAATAGGGCTAACTTAATTCTTTGTGCCATATGTCTATTAGGATTTTAAGCTGCTTGGTTGTCTGTGATCACTAAGTGAAGGTGAAGTCTAGATTAATAAAACATATTTCAAAGGCTGATGTCAAAACAGAAGCAAATGTTCAGAGTGTGCTACTCTTTCTTTAGGTAAAATAAACAGCACCTGATTCTTCCTCTTTTCAGTATCACTTTTTGCAAAAATAAATAAATAAATAAATCCTGTACTTATTTGTGACAATAACTTAATGTTCCATTATGTTTAATTTAACATTCTTTAAATTTAAACATTATTAGCTAATGGCAGTTTTCAAAGTACCACCAGTTCTAACTCCTGACCCTTATGTCAGTTACTAATGAGACACTTGTGATTTACATTAACATTTGGAAACATGATCAAAATATTTTTTAAAAACAGATAATTTTCCAGTAAGGAAATATTCTATATAATTGCCAGGTACAGTTTTATAGATTCTATGTGTTAATTACTTACTGAAGAATTGTCAAGGTGTAAGTGGAAAAGACAGAAAGGTATCATTTTGAAATTTAATAGGAACTTCAGAGAGCTAGAGACAACACTAGTCTTTTAAAATTGTAAAATGTGACCTACTGTATCTTGTAGGATGTAATCTTTTCAATTTGTATATCTTAAATAAACCATTGAATGCACTTCAGAAATCAGAACTTTTGGAAGGCTCATTGCATTTAACATTAGTTGAACTCAGTATTGGACCTAGAGTCATTATACCTATTTGGGAATATTTTATTATGAATGAAGGTGCCCCAACACTACAGTTTATAGAGCTCTTAAGCACAAATCTCTTTTAGCAATATTTTTCCTTCAATGCCATGAGATTCATAGCTCTAATTTTAACAGTCCTATGATCCAACTTGTCTTCACTGTAAATAGAAGCAAAATTTTGTATTATGAAGGCTGTACCAAGCAATAATCAATTCTTATTAAATAGAAAATATGTGATTCCTTTATTCACACAAGCATATAATCAGAAAAAAATATTTTTACTGATTTTATTTTAATCCTTATAGTACCATGCAATTGTCTTAGTTTTTCTTCAGAACAGCATCACTCTAGTATGATCAAATTATCCACAGATAATTTCGTATCTGTGAAGCTCCCCCATCCCACGTTTTTTCATTATATTATACCATGGCCATCTCTGTGTTAATAATGTCATCACTAGATCATATGTATCATTTATCAAAAGTGAGCAGGAACACATCCTGAATGCAAAATCATTCTAGTAATAGCAACTAATTAAAGTGAATTAAAAGTGAACTGATTAAACTGTATAGTTAATGGATGTAGTGGCTTGAAAATATAAAATTATATATATATATATCCAAAGACAATTCATCAATTTTGCCAAGTAAAATGAATATATTCTTGTTTCAGAATTAGTCTCTTATTTTTAAGATAATCCTATGACTTTTGAATGTTATAGAATTTAATTATTCAGCAGATAACAAATTGTAATCATGATTTCTCTGATCAATACAATGTATTTTTGATCTACAAAGAGGGTATATGAGCAATAAAAATCCCAGAAATGTTGCCCATAATGATTTCAAATGCCTTAGAATGATTAATATTATAAATTTAGAAAGATATTTTTGTGTAGATTTATTTTTGATTTTTACGAAAAATAATGATTTTTGAGAGTTTTTATTTCATAGTTTCACGGTAAGTTGTCTTGTTTAATGGTCCTCTAATGAGAGTCAGGGTAAGAGATGTGATTAAATATAATATTGTGGCAAAAGGAGATGTCTATAGAATAAAAATTGTGAAATAATCATATTCTAAAATTGTTCTAATTAGGGTAGTCTGACATCATTAAAATTTCATTACTCTAATATGATCATATTAAAATGCCAAAAAAAGAGTCTATTATAAACATATTTAGAAAACTTAATCAGCATTCCCAGTTTTCTCTCATACACACATATAAATATATATGTTTCTGAAATTATCAAAGAACCATGTCTTAATCTGCTCAGGCTGCTAGAACAAAATGCTATTAACTAGGTGGCTTATAAACAACATAAATTTATTTCTCAGAGTTCTGGAGGCTAAGAAGTCCTAGATCAAATTGTTGGCAAATTCAGTGTCTGGTGAAGGCTCACTTCCTGGTTCATAGACAAGGAGGCATCTTTTCACCGTGTACTCACAGGGAAGAAAGGGTAAGAGATCTTTGAAGTCACTTATATAAGGGCACTAATCTGATTTATAAGGGATCTGCCCTCATGACCTAAGCACTTACCAAAGGCCAACTTCCAGATGCCATCACATTAGTGATTATGTTTTAACATATGAATTTTAGGGTGACACAAACATTCACTCTATGTTAGACCATGTGGCTTAAATAATCTGAATCTTACTTCGGACCTACTAAAACAGAACAGAATATTTGAATTTTGAAACCCAGGAATTTGTGATGGCAGTGGCGGCTGTCTGGAGTGGCCACTGCCATGACACCAGCTGCAGTGGGGGAGGCTTGACCAGGGTTGCATGCTCCATGGAGCCTGTGGGAACCAGGAACAGGTGGGAGCCCCTCCTCCTTCTGAATTGGAGGGGTGACAGCCTCGCCTTCCCAGGTGCAGTTGCAGGGGCCCAGCTGGGACTGCTGCCCCAGGTATCCTGTGCTCTTGGGGATCCAGGAAGCCCTCCTGCCCCAGCAGGCTTGAAAGAGCCTGCACCTGCTGCTTGGCCTCTCAGCTCTCCAGCTGCCCACTCCAATTTTGGAGCAAAGTTGAGGCCAAGCCTGGGCACTGTGGCAACCTGGTGGGATGTGTGTGAGCTTTTGGCGGTCCTGACATGCCCATGGCTGCCTCAGCCCCCTCCAGACTTTGACCACCCACAAACAAGGGAGGGAAGCAGAGGGGGTGCTGAGGGCAGCTGGGCATGGGCCTGAAGGTGTCCTTTGGCATGAACAGCCTGGGTGCCATAGATGTCATGATTGATAGTGGGTGCCATGGATGACATGATTGATAGCGTCAGGAGGCATAGAGGCTTCTGCTCAGAAAAGGGCATGTCCCTGGTGAAGTCCCACCTTCCGGTCAGAGAAGGCCTGAAGCCTGGGGGCCCGTTGGCCAGTTCCTCAGACCAGAGTGAGAATGCGTGCTTTTTCTGGCCTGCCTATGGCTGTCCATGGACCAATCAGCATGGACTTTCTCCCGTCTCAAGCCCATAAAAACTCCAGGACTCAGTGAGAATTGGACAAACGACAGATGATCTAACTGCTGTTAGGAGCTACCCACTCCGTGTCTTCTGAGAGGTGCGCTTTCACTCAACAAAGCATCTCTTCACTTTGCTCACACTCCAATTGTCTGCATACCTCATTCTTCCTGGACACAGGACTCAGGACCCACCAAATGGCAGGGCTGAAAGAGCTGTAACACAAACAGGGCTGAAACACCACCCCCCCACCCCAACTTGCCACGTTGGGGGTGATGAGGATAGAAGAGAGCATAAGAGAAGAGCTGTGCCCTTTGGGGAGCCTGGACCTAGGAGCTCCCTGAGCCAGGGCTGTGACACCCTTTTTGGGGCTCTGTGGGTCCTGGCATCTCCAAGATTCCAGGTGCCACCATGTTCCCTGGTGCCCAATTCACTTGCAGTACAGTTGGTTCAGCTGCAGCCTTGCAGGGATCCAGTGCCCACGCTGGCACCTGCAGCTGCCCACCTCACCACAGCCAGTGTACCTGGTTATGCGCAGTGGCCGGAACTTGTGCTTGCTCACTCACACACCCCTCTCCTCCCTGCATTTGACTTGCCTTTGGCAGGCATGGGTTCCGGGCTGGTAGTGAGACCTGAGTGCAGCCTGCCAAGCCGAGTGGGTGGAATAAGCCCAGTGGGCCCGAGCAAAACTCGAGCAAAGGCACCATCGGCCACAGAGGATTCTGTCTGGTGAAGCAATACCCCAAAGATCTTGTGACATATGCATGATTAACAAATTAACTAGGTGATTTCTACGTAGCTGATGTTTTGAAAACCACTTGATAGCTACTGGTTGCTGTAGCTAGCTATCAATTTTATCCAAATTTTCAATCCCTTATCTAATTCCCAAATGTTATGAAAGGCAACAAAAGTAGTGTTACAAAAGGTCCAAATAATATATTGGGGGTAAATATATAAGATTGATTTATGGGTTTTAGAGTTGGAGACTATATCTTTCTACTAGTTTGTATTCCCATCCTCAATTTAGAAATAATTAAGAAGTATATTTTTATACCTTTTTAAGAAAAATGAAAAGGACAGTGCCATATCAATTTACTCCTGGGACCATAGCATAATGATCTTTTTTTTTTTAATTCTTTAACTTGTCAGTCACTTTGAGGTTATTTTTAATACCGTGTGTGTGTATGTGTGTATGTGCGTGTGGAGTATGTGGGTGTGGTAGACAGTATATAGAGATATTTTTGTTTGTATGGAAAATAAGTAGAGGGGAGTCTGCTTTTAGAAGAAATACACCTCTGTAGAGAGATCCACAAGTAAAAGACTACAGCAACACTACAGATATTAGTTGATTACAATTCCTCCCCACAACTCCACCCACAACTATATTTACCACAACGTTGCTTGCTACTATCTTCCACACTGGTGAATATTATTACTGGAAGATGCAACTATTTTAATTTATTATTTGATTATCTATGATGATTATAGAACTTCAATGTTTTTTAAATGTAAGAAAAGTTCAAAGGAAACATTGGTCTATTCATCTCATATTAATTTCCAGGAAGTGACACATATTACAAAGCAGCAATTATTTTCCATGTGCTAATGAACACCAGGTAAAAAAGATGAAACAAACATGTTTCATATACACCAGAATGGGTCTAAACAAATATGTTACCACTATCCATAAACTCAACACACTAACGAAATTACTAGCATACTGGCCGATGTGTGCATTCTCCAATTTTATTAGGAATACATTCTAATAATTATTATTTAAAAACTGATATTTATTCACCATCATAACTTTTTGTTGCATTTTTTACTAACATTAAACAAGAAATATTTTGATCCAAGCGTTTATGCCATTAATGACAATGCCAGGTTTTTCCTCTTTCATTGTATGCTACAAAATTATTCCAACATCTAATCCAAGTCAGAAACCATCTGTTGCTTGAATGACATTTGGCTTGTTTAAAATGTATTAATTAAACAGACATGTTGTGTAACTATGGCAAAGGGAGAATTATTTTGAAAATATAAAGGAGTGACACCAGAGATGAAGCAGTGTTCAAACCAAACTTGTGGCTTATTTTATGGAAACATATTTTCAAATAACAACTAGAAAAACTTAACTATTGACTAATATTCTTAAAAATAAAATGATTATTTGGATCATATGTGATCCATGGTTCCATCATCTCCCAAGTCTATTTCATCACTGACAATGGAGTAAGTAGTTTAGGTTTGATCTTGTTAATTATGCTAGTAGACTACAGGGACAAAAATGAAAAGGGTTAATAGCATCATAAAAGTTCTGAAAACCATAACAAATTAGGATGGGAATTATAGCCTGGAATAGGAAGACTTATACATGAGTCTTAACTATCTTCAAACACAGGAGGGCTTGTCACGTAGAAGAACAATCACACATATTTTATGTAGCTAAAGGCATATCTAAAGAAAATTGGTGGGAACTTCTCCTTCTGTCAATGTTTTCATTTCTAGCAGCTACCAACCCTCCTAATACACACTGTGAGCTGGAGAAACAGATATCCAAGTTTGTTAAAATTAAAAATAAAAGCAGAGTATGGTAGATATGATTCTGAAAACAAACTTTGTGATAAATACTTTAGGAATTTACATGCCTTTATTCCCCCACTTACTTCCTGATATGAGGTTCTTTTAGGATAGCTGAGGCTATCAGATAACTATTAGATAGTCAAGGTGCTTTGGTAATTCATAAGTTTAAATGTAAGTCACTAAATATGGATGTGGTTAGTACCAAAAACAATGTAGATATTTCTACTATTCTTTTTTTGACTGATAATTAGGCTTTTCATTGAAACCATTGTCTATTTCAGTTTTAATATTTGGTTTTAGTATTACTTAATGGCTTTTTTGACACATGCCAGTTTCAAAGCGTATTAAGTTTCAATTCTGTCATATTTTAAATGTTAGTCAAAGAATTGTAGTTTCTCAAACATTCACAATATTGCTATTTCATTTGCAAAGTTCACACAACTGCAGTAATAGCCAATTTAACAATTTATAAACAATAACATTACTGAAAGAAGAAGCTTCATCTTGCGTATCTACAAATAGATTATTTCCATTCTGATTGAGCTGAAATGAATTATGATTCAAGGAATGAAGGAAAGTTGCCTGCTTATAATGCCATGTAGTCTTCTAATCAGCAAAAAATATGTCTGACTGTGTCACACACACACAGACACACACACACACACACACACACACAAAACTTATATCATGAAAAATGTAATGGCAGAATAGTCAGAGCTAGGAGGTCACCTGATTCTCATACAATGTAGCTTCATAAAAAGCCTCCAGCACAGGCTAGTGATGTATTATGGTACTTAAAAAAAAATAGCCATGAAGGGTAAAACCCCCAGAAACATGAGAAATGAGACTATTCAAATTTTATGAAATGGAGCAGTGAGGCCGGGAGCAGTGGCTCACGCCTGTAATCTCAGCACTTTGGGAGGCTGAAGCGAGTGGATCACAAGGTTAGGAGTTCGAGACCAGCCTGGCCAATATGGTGAAACCCCGTCTCTACTAAAAATACAAAAATTAGCCAGGCGTGGTGGCAGGCGCCTGTAGTCCCAACTACTCAGGAGGCTGAGGCAGAAGAATTGCTTGAACCCAGGAGGCAGAGGTTGCAGTAGGCTGAGACTGCACCACTGCACTCCAGCCTGGGCGACAGAGCAAGACTCCATCTCGAAAAAAGAAAAAAAAAAAACAAAAAAGAAAGAAAAGAAAAGAAATGAAGCAGTGAAAACACAATTAGGCCAACAGGTCAACTGATCCATCCTGCAAAATGACTTGAGTTGGTAAAGTAGAAAGTTTTATGACTACAAATTTCAGGGCCAAGTAGTAAAGACCTGCTACAAAATAAAAAGGCCTGACATGTCATCTGTGAGATTTACACTGGGAATTATGATCTTCACATGGGATGTGCATGCTGGCCATATAATGCACATGAAAATCTTTAGTTTCTAACCAGGCTATTTGCACATTTTACTTTATGATATACTGAGTAATTATAAATCATTTGGCTAAGAGACAGTACCTATGGGAAAAAAAATGCAGAAATCCTCTGACATTCAGAATGAGGTTGTTTACTATTATAAAATGTGGGAACTTGGAATCCTAAAGTATTCTTAATAGTTTGAAATTCAAAATGTTTTTTACGTAAATCAAAAACAAACTTGCATATGGTAATCCTTAGAAAGTAATGACCCTACATATGATTACTCTTTCTAATCAGAGTTACTGGTGATGACAGTGAATCTAAAGGAAGATTGGGTTAGAGTGTATTAGGTTTGAACTCATGGCATGTGCAAGGTTGTATAAGTAATTCTAATGAGCCTTCTCTAACATGATACTCAAGTATTCTATAATTAGAATCACAGGGTCACCTATCTGCATGCAGCCTCTTTGGTGCCAGATTAACCTGTCCGAAATGCCACTTACATCATGTTATGAAATGTAAAAATATTTACCTGATAATTACTATGAAATGATGCCTTCATGAGGTTTAATGGACACAAGAATGCTGGGGATTTGATATTTAGTCTGTAAATGATTTATGTGAATGACACCAATATAATTTCTGGGTATTGTTGTGTCCTGGAATTTTGATTCATTTGAGCTAAAAATGAGGTGTGTAGATTTTAGGGAGAGGTATCCTGTGCTGTTTCTCTCTGCTACTGGCAGAAAATAAGTAGCTTTTCAGGGCAAATATTTATTCATGAAAACGCCAGGATTTATTTCCATCCCATAAAGTCACTATTCCAGTCAATAGATTTGTTTTAATTTCTGTGTCACAACTTCTCTGCAGGGCTACAGACAGAAATTTGTCATGAACAAATTATGACATGAATATTAATGTAGTAGCCCTTTTATACTGCACAATAATTATCTTTAACCAGCTTTTCCATATTGAAAAATTAGCCTTCCAGATCAGAGGTCTTCAAACAATGGCCTTTAGAGCCAAATGATGAAGAAGTTCAAGCAAAACATTATATTTAATAATACATAAAAGTACCTAAATTTTAAATTTTAATGTCCATAAGTACAGTTTTATTGGAACACAGGCAGGCCCATTCAGTTTCATATTGTCTATGGCTGTTTTTACACTTCAACATTAGGGTTAAGTAGTTGAGAAAGAGACTGTATCATATGGCCCACAAAGCCTAAAATATTTACTATCTCATTCTTTACAGAAAAAGTTTGCTGAACCTTCAGTTTAATGGTTATAAGAGGGGTCCTAGAGGATGATTAGTTTATCATCCTTAAAACTGTAGATAAATGTTGTGGTTTTTTTTTTTTAATTATACTTAAGTTTTGGGATACATGTGCAGAACGTGCAGGTTTTTTACATAAGTATACACATGCCATGGTGGTTTGCAGCATCCATCAACCCATCACCTACATTAGGTATTTCTCCTAATGCTATCTCTCCCCTAGCCCCACACCCTCCAACAGGCCCCAGTGTGTGATGTTTCCCTCCCTGTGTCCATATGTTCTTATTGTTCAACTCCCACTTAAGAGTGACAACATGCAGTGTTTGGTTTTCTGTTCCTGTGTTAGTTTGCTGAGAATGATGGTTTCCAGCTTCATCCATGTCCCTGCAAAGGAAATGAACTCATCCTCTTTTATGGCTGCATAGTATTCCATGGAGTGTATGTGCTACATTTTCTTAATCCAGTCTATCATTGTTGGACATTTGGGTTGGTTCCAAGTCTTTGCTATTGTGAACAGTGCCGCAATAAACATACATGTGCATGAGTCTTTATAGTAGAATGATTTATAATCCTTTGGGTATATACCCAGTAATGGGATGGCTGGGTCAAATGGTATTTCTGGTTCTAGACCCTTGAGGAATCGCCACACTGTCTTCCACAATGGTTGAACTAATTTACACTCCCACCAACAGTGTAAAAGTGTTCCTATTTCTCCACATCCTCTCCAGCATCTGTTGTTTCCTGACATTTTAATGATCGCCATTCTAATTGGTGTGAGATGATACCTCATTGTGGTTTTGATTTGCATTTCTCTAATGACCATTGATGATGAGCTTCTTTTCATGTTTGCTGGCTGCATAAATGTCTTCTTTTGAGAAATGTCTCTTCATATCCTTTGCCCACTTTTTAATGGGGTTGTTTGTTTTTTTCTTGTAAATTTGTTTAAGTTCTTTGTAGATTCTGGGTATTAGTCCTTTGTCAGATGGATAGATTGCAAATATTTTCTCCCATTCTGTAGGTTGCCTGCTCACTCTGATGATAGTTTCTTTAAATGTTGTAAATTTTTTATATATTATGAATTTCTACATAGATCCAACAAGCTATTGACAATGTTTTAGTTAGTTTATTTACAAGAATGCAAATGTAACCACCCAGTGGGTTCACCTTGCCCGCTGCCTAGAGAGAGCCAATTTATCAAGACAGGGGGATTTCAGTAGAGAAGGAGTAATTCACGCAGAGTTGGCTGTGTAGGAGTCCAGAGTTTTATTATTACTCAAATAAGTCTCCCTGAGCATTTGGGGAGAGAGTTTTTAAGGACAACTTGGTGGGTGAGGGGAAGCCAGTGAGCCAGGAGTGCTGATTGGTCAGTGGTGAAATCGTAGAGATTCAAAGCTGTCTTCTTGGGCTGAGTTAGTTCCTGGGTGGGGGCCACAAGATCAGATGAGCCAGTTTATCGATCTGGGTGGTGCCAGC
Source organism: Homo sapiens (assembly GCF_000001405.40). NCBI lineage: Eukaryota > Metazoa > Chordata > Mammalia > Primates > Hominidae > Homo > Homo sapiens. The sequence goes on from NC_000024.10 coordinate 5,498,047, forward strand.
TGGTCCATCAAGTGCAGGATCTGCAAAATATCTCAAGCACTGATCTTAGGAGCAGTTTAGGGAGGGTCAGAATCTTGTAGCCTCCAGCTGCATGACTCCTAAACCATAATTACTAATCTTGTGGCTAATGTTAATCTTACAAAGGCAATCTAGTCCCCAGGCAAGAAAGAGGTCAGCTTTGGGAAAGGGCTGTTAGTGTATTTGTTTTAAACTATAAACTAAGTTTCTCCCAAAGTTAGTTCAGCCTATTCCCAGGAATGGACAAGGACAGCTTGGAGGTTAAGAAGCAAGACAGAGTTGGCTAGGTTAGATACCTTTCACTGTCTCAGTCATAATTTTGCAAAGGCGGTTTCACAAAGGCTTATTTAGTACTCTGAGACTTTAGAGTTGAAGCAGCTAAACTTTTTATAAACTTTTATGAAACTCTGCTTTTGAAGAATACAGTATTGATGATTATTTCAGTAGCTCCCTACTAAATATCTTTAGTACTAATAAATGATAGATGACTGACAGGCTAGGTAATCCATGTATTTTAATGCCCTGTAATTCAGGTTAACATTCGGATTATGTCTGTGTAGAGGTGATCAGAAGACGACCTGAAGCTTTTATTTTCCTCTTTTCACTGTGGGTTCTAGATACAAAGACAAACAGAAAAAGGGATATTGACTAGGCAAAAGCATACAAAAAGGTATTTCAGTTACATTATTTCCCTGATAAATGCTTTAAATCTTAGAAAATACAGTGTGGTTTAATCAGATAATACAGTCAATCTCACTCTTCACAGCTTCCACACAACCTAACACTCATCCCCCAAAAAACTAAAACCAAGGCTGGGTGAGGTGGCTCATGCCTGTAATCCTAGCACTTTTGGAAGCCTAGGTGGGTGGATTTCTTGAGCTCAAGGGTCGAGACCAGCCTGGGCAACATGGTGAAACCCCATCTCTACCAAAAATACAAAAAATTAGCTTGGTGTGGTGGTGCGCACCTATGGTTCTAGTTACTTGGGAGGGTCGCTTGAGCCTGGGAGGTAGAGGTTGCAGTGAGCCAAGATTGTGCCATTGCATTCCAACCTAGATGACAGAATGAGACCCTGTCTAAAACAAAACAAAACAAAACAAACAACAACAAAAACCCCTGCCTTCTGAACTCCTCAATATTACTTAGTTCCAGCAAGCTTTTCTTTTATTCAGTTTATTTTCTGCTCATACTAATTCTGCTAAGAGTTACCTTAACCAACACCACCCACTACTCCCTCTGAGAGGCCCAAAGGAATCCTGTCTGGCTGTTACACTCACATGTAGAAAATCAGCAGACTATTTCTCATTAGAAGAAGTAATTTTATGTTCAGAAACATATTCCATAATATATATTACATATTACATGCATTAGTCATTTTCTCCTATTTTATTGAGACTTTAATATAAAAAATAATGGCTAAAAACTAAAGAAGATTCAAGTGAGCTACTTAAATATTTTATGCATCTATTATATTTTCATATATCTTCCAATAAGTTTGAAGTATGATATTCAAATCTTTTCATAGCTCCATCTGAAGAAATGGCTGACTGTTAGACCTGAATTTGTGAAAATATATGCATTCTGTTATGAAAATGCCTAGGATGTAAATTCTTCTCATCTTTGATATATGCAAATCTCTTAAATAAATTATACCTAATTTGAAGCTTTCATGCTGCCAGTAGTTTAGTGCTTTGGTTGATCTATTGTTACATAGCAAACCATCAGTAATCTTTGGGGACATAAAAATCAATAGTCCTTCTTAATTTTTAGGTCAGGAATTTAGGTAGTGTACAGCAGATATAGCTATTTCTACTCCACAATGACTGCTGCCTTAAGTAGGGGGTGCTCAAATGTCTGAAGATAGTTAGGATGACTCCAATAAGGCCACTAGCTGGAATGTTCATAATGGATTCTTCATGTACATATCCGGCACCTGAACTTGAGTGGCTGGAACAGCTGGGCCTCTCTCGGCATTGTAGTCTCTTTTTATACAGTCTTTCCACGAAGCTAGCTTGAGCTTCCCCACAGTATGGCATGCTCCCAGTACTCAAACTACTTTCAATGCAGCTGTAATTTTCCATGGTGAGTTTTCCAAGGGTGCAAAGCAGAAGCTACAGGGTTTGATTACAGAGTCTGTGCAGATTCAATGTGGTCTCAGGCTACTTGAAAGTCTGAATATCAAGAGGTGATGTCCATTGGGGAGCCTATTTTTGGAGACTACTACATATAGCATAGCAATGCTGCAAACAAAAATGCTGCTACAAGATCTGGTGAAGATGTTACAAACTTCTTCTTTCGGAAACCAAATGCTTCATCTTTATCTTTTTATTTGTATATATATTTTTATATTCTGCTAGGAATACCATTTATGATGATAACTATAATTTGTTTTCATAATTACCATTAACTGTTATCCATATTATGTAATTACTTTTTTCTTAGAAAGTAAAATCAATTTAAATAAATTCCAATTCAAAATTTTGTCTCTAAGATTCTTCTAAAGGATGATGTACTTTTAGTTTTCTAAGCCTACATGATTGAATAAATTTGTGTTATTATTCACAGTTTCAGCTCACTAGCAACTTACAGATACAGCAAAAAAGTATGGTTATATTTATCCACATTTATTACTCAAAAAATAAGTTATTGCCAAATAATACCTAAATAAATACATGTTAAAATTATGGTTGGAATTTCCAGTTTGCTCAAATGTGCTATAAAGCTGACTGTCTCTTGCTTTAGAACAAGTTGACTTTCATTCTGCATCTGGCTGTGCCTTGTTTTGAAATATAATGGAAGCAACACTGCCTTCAGGTGAAGAAGGTTTGAACACAGAATTGTGTTATTCACAAAAGCCTGAAATTGTTCACAACTCAAGATAATGTTAATGTGTCTTCACCAGATAGCCGAAATAATGCATTTTCTAAATTGCAGCATTAAGCAATGATTCAGATCATATCTGAAACCCTGTAATTTTCATTCTCCCTTTCAGTCCCAGCGGCGTGTCACATTTCACCTGCCAGAAGGCTCTCAGGAAAGCAGCAGTGATGGTGGACTGGGAGACCATGATGCAGGCAGCCTTACCAGCACATCCCATGGCCTGCCCCTTGGCTATCCTCAGGAGGAGTACTTTGATCGTGCTACACCCAGCAATCGCACTGAAGGGGATGGCAACTCCGATCCTGAATCTAGTAAGTGATACCTCTCTGGTTCCTCAATATAAACGGGCTTACTGTGTTTGCAACTCAAGCTATCATAGCCATAATAACATGGGCTAATTTATTATGTTATTGTGAATAGTGACACATTTTTGAAAGGTAAACATACAGAATTAGATGGATGGCAAGTATAAGGCAGTTTATAATATTTTAAATGTATGATCATAACTACGCTGAATGAAATTTATTATAGTGACTTTGTTAAGGCATAGATAGAATTTTCCATTTATGTACACCTGTAATTTATTTGTATATAAACAGCCAATTTATTTTATTTTATTCATTTATTTGTGAAGGTATAAATTTTTTCTTATATATAAAAATATTTCCTAGATTTTATTTTTATTTTTATTAGAGATAAAAACCATTGACAGTTATTTTCTTTCTGAGGAAATAAGAGATCCTGACTCCAATGTAGGAGAGGGCATCTGAGGTTTTCAGCAATATACTGAAATCACACACCTGTGCCATGTTACTGTTTAGAAAGGTATTCACATTTGGTCTTCAGACAGAAGGCACAAAATCTGTGTTTTGCAAATTCCAAAGATGTTGAACTCTTTAAAAGGATCATAGAGTTGATATTAAATAAAATTTCATTAAATGTATTATCTTGAACGTGTAGCGAACAACCTTGCTGATTTATAATTTCAGGAAATACAAAATTTGATAAGATATATATTTCTCGGAAGAGTCTTGAAATTGCAAGAAGCTACAATTTGCTCCATTTATGTTATGTACATAAAAGTATGTAGATACAAAAAAGCATACAATATATGTGAGAAAAAAGTCATAGCCATAAACCAATATGAAAAAAAATGGGCCAAATACCTGGCAAAAACATAAATAAGGTAATATAAACTAGACATTTTGAAAGGTTATTTTGAGCATTATGGATTGCAGGGATGTATAATTCAAATAAAGCTTCTAGGCTTTAGAACAAAATAGCTTCCCTATCATTGTATTTTAATCCTCTATTTTTGAAACTTCAAAAAATAGGGAAATGGATTGGCTAAACATTATGATATAATCTAAGGCTAAACATATGGAACCAATGACAACATAACATCAACTTTTTCTCTCTACAGATGTAGATGCTATATATTATAGGTATTTTTAATGTAAAAATATTAGAGACTTTTGAGTCAGCAAGTTCAGACAGTCCTAAAAATCTACTATCTCCATTTTCAATTTTATACTTGGAATAAATGATCAACATTTGTTCTGAAGATAAAAAATTCCCCTATACCTTGTGTCACTAAACTATCTTTAATTTACTTTGTTTAGCACAGCAAAATGACTCCTGGTAGAAATACATAGTTGTGATTATATTTACTTGTGTAATGAACTAAGAGTTAATCTCTAATAAGAATATGATCATAAGTAACAAATACACATTAAGCAAGGGTGCCACTGATCTTCTTTCCTCCATAAATCATTGTTTTAGTTGTAGGTCTATCATGCCCTGTTAAATAAGAATATAGAAATGGGATAAGTATCATTTTTATAAACTAGAAAGAGTTGATTCATTTGTACATGATGTGTTACTAAGCCTCTTTCATAGAGGATTGCATAGCAACAATTAAAGAGTAAACTCAGAGTAAGCATCCACAGTGCACATCTCACCCTGAAATAAAATTCCAACTGAATGAGACTCAAATGGAATACTGTTGATAATAGTAGGAGAATTGGTATGTGTCAGAAATAGTAAAACATTTAACATTAAATATAGCTTTATTAATCCCAATTATATTTAGAAATAAGTAGTTGTTTTAAAAAGTATTCAAATGCATAGTTCTTAACAGAAGCTGGTCTTGTTTATAGTTAAGGATATAAGTGCTAGCATCAATGTATTAGCTGACATACTTAGGGGCTTTTTTTAAAAAAGGGTGCTTTCTGTTAGGAGCTAAACATTTCTCTCTTCTAATTATATTTACACTATTATCTTGAACATTAAATATCTTGTTCATATTTACTCTACAGGATGAAGGACTCACAAAATTTGCATTAAAAACTTTAGTTGCTCAATCGATTTTATTTTAAAATCTAGATGTCTGTGGGCAATGATAATAGTAAAACAAATTGTATATTTTGCTGCTTATTATTTTAATAAACTTATGCAAAGGGTAGATATAATTAAAAATGAATGCCCATTTTCTACAAGTCTAACAATATTGTTAAGCGAATGTTTAAATGTTATTTTTTTACTATGAATAATACTAACAAACTGCTCTCCTACTAAATGTGAAACCTCCCCCTAAATCATGTTCCAAGAAAATTTTTGTTAGGAGTTTTGTTTTGGGACAGTCAGAGACCTTACTAAAAGTGCAAGAAGCACAATAATTTACTTGAAATGAAGCTCCATTGTCTTAATGTGTCACGGTAGTGAAATGTTTAACATAGTACGTGTGTGTGTGTGTGTGTGTGAGTGTGTGTGTGTTGTTTTAATTAAAAAGAAAAAACATAGCTGGTTTAGAATTGGCCATAGCAAAGTAATCTCTTTAGGCTAATACTGATGATAAGGTATTTTGATTCTTCAAAAAGCAAAGCTATAGCTCTGAAATAGCACCCGATAATGGGTTTTATGATATGGAGCAGATGCCAATAAACTGTGCATTGTTTGTCAATAGCACCACTGATAGGAATGTAAAGTGTTAGAGGAAATAAATGCTGTCCTTAAGCAATGGAATTAATTTATGCAGTTCCCATTTCACATTTTGAAATGTATTACATCTTCAATCTGCTTTCTTTCTTGCTAGTGAATTGCCAAAATAGCACATAGTTCTGCAAATCCTTTGTAAATTCACAAAACAGGAATAAACATGACATTTATGAATAAGGGTATTCTGTAAAATTTGCTAGAGGGATTTATTAATACTGCTTTAAAAATATAGTTCCCTGGTTGATAAAAATCTGCTGCTTAGGTGAAGAAATCACACAATTCATTCTCTTAAGTCTTTTGCCAAGACTATTAACTTTTCTTTTTAAAATAAAGAAAACAAACTCAAGCCAATTATTACTTTTTGAGGAGACAAAGTCAATAAAATATCCTGTCTCATTCCATCTGAAGACTTTGTAATTTTTAAATTTTATAATTGCAATCTCTTTACTGTGGCCATTGGACTAAGGGTCACTTAATGCCATTCTATACAGTTCTGTCTTCCTTGGATGACAGCTTATATTCTAGACCTTTCCTCCTACCATAGCCTCATCAGATTATTTACAATGAACCCTGCTCTTTGAAGCTAGTTAATTTGTTAAAAAGCAAAAACAAAATAGAAACCCAATTCAAAAACAGCACTATTGATTGCTGCTGGGTTACTGTGGATACTGGAACAGATAATGTCTGCATTTTCAAAGGATTTTCTTGAGACACATTCATGGAGACACATGTGGCCCTGGTAAAGAACAAGTTGTGAGTCTACTTTTGAGGATTTTACATATCCAGGTATAGTGTTAACTCAGAGATTTGAGGATAGTGAGATCCTCTTGGGACTACTGTAAACACATTAAACTATGTATGGCCCTATGCTCCTATCTACTTATTTTTAAGTAGTCTCAGGTAAAATATGATTTTTGAGGATATGATTTAAAAATGCTTTCCAATTTGTTTTCTAAATTTTTTTTCTGTTTTTATAATTCAGACTGAGTGCTGAGACATACAGAAATATTAGCAAATGTCTACACATTAAACTTCTGAGATTTTTTAATACTCTATGTTTATGAAGCCAGGGTTTTTATGTTTTGTCCTCAAATAGAGAATGCATTGCTGCTATTTCACTACAGGTAAGTTGGATCTAAAAGGGTAACTACTAATATTTTTACATTTCTACTGATCTGCTGGCATATTATAATTTTCCAGCTTCATTGGAAGAAATAAAATAGCCATAATTCTTTGGAAGATAAATGGTGAAATAGAGTATTGCTAAAGAGGCTCAAATCAGTCTTCAGCTTTCTAGTCATAAATCAGTACAATTGCAGAGAAAAATCCCCCTAAAATGAAGAGGAGAATGATTTAGTTTATATCAGTATTTTAATTTTCTTCAACTGAACAAGTTATGTCATCTGTATTTTTTAAAACCTCTTCATTGTATGTGATCATTTCACGCATGAAGTCACTCTATCTGAAAATGTTATAGCTGGTCTAGTGTCCAGCATTGAATCTTAAAGTAACAAAATACTTGAGTGAAATTTCTTCATCTTCCCCCAAAAAAGTTAATGCTTTTCCTCTTTTTGTATAACATAGTCATTTCTGTGATACAAAAGAAGAAAATATAGAGTTTCAAGAACATTTAGGGCTAAAAAATTATATGTTTAAAATAAAGATCAATATATGTTTTTATTAAAATGATGTCTGCTAGAGTTTATCTCATGTTAGCAAATCTGTTTGACATTCATTTTTATTTCAGTAGATCAGGTTTGCTTAGCACTCAAATACACTACTAATTAATTCACAACAAGGAAGTAATTAATCTTTCCCTGGCAAGGCACTTTGATTGATCTTCTACCAGTAATCCAATAAATTGGTATAAAAAGTGGGAGACCAATTTGATTGACTAGAATGAATTTCTACTCAGAGAAATGCCAGATTTTCTCCTGATCTGCTAAGAGTATTGACATGAATAACACTAGGGTAATTACTAGTAAGTGTTTGAACATCTCATTATTTGAATATCTAATTCTAAACATAGACTACTGGTAAAATTAAAAAATCAAAACCAAAAACTGTGAAACGTTAAAAGAATAAGCTAGTAATGGGTCATTAAAACTCAGCCTTTCATAATTAAAAACATTAGGAGTCAGTTGTCTAAAAGCAAAATAAAGCCATGGAAATATTTTTCCCTGGAAAATATTGATATACTAGTACCTTGGGGAAAGCAGTGATCTAATTATTTATCTAAAAAATTCAAGGAGAAAATATGATTCAATTATAGAAAAAAGGAGTAGTATTGGTTAGTATATTTAAGAGAAGAGTAACACTTCTGATGTGGCAGAAAATCATCTGAGTCCACAGTTCAGCTAATATTACCCGTATAACTGTTAATTAAGTGTTTTTGTTTGCTGCTATATGCCCAGGAAAATTTGACTCCATAGGCTTTCTAATATTTCTTTAAAATGCATTTTTGACGAAAGTCACATATCAATTCATGTATTACAATAAAAAGAAAAGTGAATGCATCATTTTGTTAATATTTTTACATGAAACAAATGGGAAATATATTCCACTTAACAAAAAGAAATTATGCTCCCTTTAAAGGTTAATTACATAGCAAGGCCAATTCTGACTCTGTAGGCTATGTATTTGTAAGATTATTTCTTAAAACTGTGCTCAGTAGCCTATATAATAGTGTCAGTCCATGGTAGAAAGGGGGGAGTAAAATAATTTAAATCAGCTCAGCAAGCTTAATGTCATGTGTTTTGAAAAATGAATCAATCAGTATTTCTAAGGAGTGATGTTATCATTATCAATGATATCAGTTATGGTCTATTTCAAGAAAGAGGTTGAACTCCATGGCCCCGGGTTCTGGAAATATAGGACATATGCCTGCTCTATTTCATTGCCTTGCCAAGAGAAAACAATATATAGCTTTATGCTGCTACTGAAAATTTAAAAATTTCCTTAATATTTATTAATATTTTTAAGGTAACAATAATATCAAAGTCACTTTTATTCTTTTTCAAATGAAATATCATTGTAATAATTGATACTGTCAATGATTATTACCAGTTTATTTTAGTCCGTGATGTGTTATGTAAATAGTGTTAGAAAAGTATCTATATATAAATAGGTTATAAAGAATGGTTCCACCCAAGAGTTCAGCCATCTGCCATTGTTTTAGAGAGAATAAGGTATACTTGGTAGTGACAGTAGTTTTTATAATAAATGTGCTTAGGCAGGTATAAACAGTGATCTGGTAGCAGATGCTCTGTGATGTATATTAATTTTACCATTTAAACTGACATGCTTTTCAAAAGTAAATCTTTCTCTATTGAAGCTTCTGAAAGTTTATAAATACATTATAATAAGAAAAATGGGTAAAACACGTCTTACGATACCATCCTATCATATTCAACTTCCCTATATAAGAGATGCAATCTCAATGTAGACCAATTGAAAAATGACTGCTAATTTGGAGTATATAGGCTTTGGGAAGGCAACAAAAGCTTTATGCTAGAGATAATCTTTAAACAATTATAGAGGTCATGAATTAAAATGAGAAGTATATCTTTAAAGTTGGAGACTTGAAGACATTTACAGGATTTTATTTGGGTGACAGTCTCTAAGATGAGTGTATCTTTAATATCTTAAATATAATATGGATTAGATAGAGGTTGATCACTCAAAAGCAGGCCACTATAAGTAAAGCAATCTCTTATCTTGTCTTTTCTGTTTGAAAGTGACAAGCACTAGGAGACTGGCACAAGCTGCCAGTTGAAAGCCAATGCCATAGGTCTGGAATGTCAATAAGCTTGAATAATCACCTAAAGTGGCAGAGAATAGGTGGCCTTCTCTTCACAATAAACCTTCTCTTGCTTCTAAATTTTATTAAGCTTCCTACACCAAATAATAAAGGTCATTTAACATTTGTGTTTCTATAATTTATGAGCCATGAGGCGATTCATTTTATGACAACATTCTTTCTTCTGCTTTTTAAAAAATCTTACTTCTCACTTTCCTTTGCCTATAAGACAGACTATTTGCCATTTGTTATTTTTTGTAGTTCTTTGAAAGTCAGTATAATCAGTCATTCAAGATGTAGCATTTGGGTGACTTGGAATATTTAGTAGTGTTAGCCACACATCAACTTCTTATTTTAAAATGATTTATAAATTTTAATGAATGAGGAGTATTATAGCAACATATTTTTAATCCCCATGACACTTTTAAAATTGGACAATAACTTGCAACTCTCATGATTGCTTTCATCAACAGAACATTCAACAACTGGTGAATATATCAAGGAATTCATTAAAAAATGAATAACTATAGACCATCTGTCTTACCATGATTTCTATGATTTTTTAATTTACATTTTATTGAATATTGAAGATGCCCAATAGAGAATAGAATAGAGATAACAGTGTTCGCTTAGCCAATTTTTTCTCTCTCTTAATCAATAATCTTAGAAATTGTTTTCCCAGTTCCACTAGGTACATGGTCTTTATCTGGCATTAATCAATCTTATATTGGAAATGTTTGTATGTTATCTAAACAAACTTTTTCTGAATAGTGTATATGAAATAAGCCATTAAAAGTTTAGTTTTTTCTTAGAAAATTCTTCTCTTGCAATTTGTATAGACCTGAAAGGCTGGTAATTTTAAATATTATTTTGGGGTATCTAATTATACGATAAAAATATTTGAACATTGAATACAAATTTTTATTGCGGTAATTCTTTGTGTAATCACTATTCATGAAACCTTTTCAGCACAGACCATTGTAGATAATTTGTTTTAGGCAATCATCTTACGTATTACAGAACTCTAGTCCGTTTACTACAATTAACTAGCTCTGTGAACTTGGATAGGTCTTTTAACTTCACTGTCTCTTTTTCTTAATTTATATAATGAAGGGATTATACGAATCTCTAGTGCCCCTTCTAGGGTCATAATTTTGTAACTATTAAAATCCCAGAATTTACATGTGCAGGTGTTGCCTTTTACATTGTCTTTAAATTCTAGAGCTCTCAGGGACCTTGGGTGCTATTTAGTCCAGCTCCCTCATTATGCAAATGAGATAACTGAGATTTGGCCCTTTTAAGCAACAACTTAATGTTCTAAATTAAGATTTGAAGTGTATCGTTTATCGTGTTCTAAAATAAGAGTCACTAATGTTGGTAAGCAGCTACTTTTGAAATTTAAATGAAACAACTCATGAGAGAAAAGTAGTATAAAATTTAGCATTATCATCACTCAAGGGGACTGTTACAATATATCCAAATGGAGAACTTTTTTATATGTGATGAGGCCCTTTATTTTTTTAAAAAGGTTCCTGTTTTAAAAATGCCCTGAAAGAGCATTTGGAGCAATACAGACTGCCGATTTCTAAAATTACTGTTTGTGCTAACCAGTGAAAGTACTGCAGAAAAAACTGTAAACATGCTGAATGATAATGATCTCTATGTCAGGAAAACTAGCCACTTTTCACTATGCTTATCTAATGTAGTTAAATTGTGTGTACGTGTGTGTATGATTACTTCCAGAACAACTTGGAATTAAAAAATGAATTTTAGAAGGTAAATTTCCTTTGAATATGATGAAAAGTGCATAAACAGAATCTCCAGGAGGAGAAACGCAGAATATGTGAATATATCTTTTATGCATTCTGCTGTAAACTCAGCTCTTCCTCTATATGAAATTCCTGTGTAACTCTATGCTACTTCTACTTTCCAGAAGAATGAAGTCTCAGTTAACAAGGAATTGATATTCATAGACTCAATCGACTGAGTTAATAGTGTGCCATATAGTCAAAATGTTTTGGGTAAACCCTATTATAATAGTCCTTTTTGGATAATGATTAGAACTTGAGATGAAAGCAGGATAACTTTTATAGTTATATAAATGTCCTATAAAAGTTATCCTGCTTTTGGCCGGGCACGGTGGCTCATGCCTGTAATCCCATCACTTTGGGAGGCCGAGATGGGTGGATCACCTGAGATCAGTAGTTCAAGCCCAGCCTGGCCAACATGGTGAAACCCCATTTCTACAAAAACACAAAAATTAGCTGGGCATGATGGTGGGTGCCTGTAATCCCAGCTACTTGGGAGGCTGAAGTGGGAGAATCGCTTGAACCTGAGAGGGGGAGATTGCAGTGAGCCGAGATGGCACCATTGCACTCCAGCCTGGGTGGGTGACAGAGGGACTCTGTCTCAAAAAAAAAAAAAAAAAAAAAGTTATCCTGCTTTCCTGCTTTTATCTCTAGTTCTAGTTCTAATGGATTGAGCAGAGTACAACTCCTTTTCATCTCTAGTTGTTTATCCTAGAGATGAAAAGGAGTTGTACTCTGCTCAATCCATTAAGTTATATGAAGTTTGTCTTACATATAAAGTCTGTTAGCTTTTATTTATACTAATAGATGACATCATAGAAATTGATGCTCTGGATTAAGAAAGTCATGCAAAAATAAAAATATTTTGAGAAGAATACTTGATCATCTTGAAAATAGCATTAGTTTTATAGGACAATATTATTGAAGCATGTAAAAAAAACAGTGAGTTTTAATTAACTTTTAGAAGATTCTACTCCTACTCCTTGGCTTATCAATAGTGCATTGCAAGGTTCACTTGGCTCACTATAATTTTTATTTTAATGATGTTGTTTTCCAGGGCTGAGTTTAGACTGTGATTTCCTTAGATTTATGCATGTAACTTAATCTAAAACTGAACCTGACAATTTTTTCTAACTGATTGTTCCATTTAACTGTATTCTGTCTCTTTGGAAAGTGTGTGTCCTCATATTGCAGAAATGCCTCTTAAATTTGATTTGAAGAAGGAGTCAATTTTTTTTTTGGGGGGTGGGGGAACGGAATCTCACTGTCACCCAGGCTGGAGTGCAGTGGCGCGATCTCAGCTCACTGCAACCTGAGAGGAGTCAACTTTACAGAGGTACATACATGTCTTCTACATTCTTTTAAAGAATGTAGCTAATTAATCTGATTTTTAAAGACTAAGTTAAATATTAACAAGGAATTCAGGGATCTTTGCCTCATTCAGACTGTAGTTACAAGGACAGAGTACTCATTAGAGATATTTTTGATATATGAATGCACCAAAGGCATTCTCAGTTGTTGGATAAATCATGTATTTGATTCAGCTGTTTGTGTTTGTTTTCTTCGTTCAGATAATCTTCTATAAAAGCTACTTTTACTAGCTTAAATCCATTGCAAACTTTGCAGTAATAATGTTTTCTAATTTCTCTTCCCCCAGTTGATTATGAATTATACTGGACAGAAGAACAGGATACATTGAAAAATTTCACACAAATATGTTTTTATTCAAGTAGAAAACTGGAGTTTTAGGATTTGACCCAAATTAAATCCAAATATTGAAATTTCAATTCAAAGTGCCATAGTATTGAACTATTAAGTCTTCCCTTCTGAAATAACTAGCCATTACATTTTTGCAAAACAGCTTAACTTATGAAATATAATATCTGAAATCCAAATATCATGGCGAAAGATCTTAAACAAAGTGAGCCCAATTCAATACCCATGTAACTTTGGCAAATATCCCCTCAGGGTTTCAAAGGATATGAACTGTGGCTAAGTAAAAAAACCTTTCATCTAGAAAGATCCCATAATGCCCAACAGTCTGAAGTGAATCTGTCTATGTGTTAGTACTCAATACAGGGTAAAAACATACTGCTTTCAGGGCAGAGAATTGGAATTTCACTGCACAAGGGAAATTTATCATATGCTTGAAACTGAACTTTCAGAGCTGCTTTAGCAATACTATTTTTTGCAGAAAGAAAAAAAAAAGTTGACCTTCAGAGACCTTGTTTTCAAAAGACCATGAATTTCTTTGTCTACTCCCAAAAAGATTTTTTTTGAAATCAGAGAATTTTAATACCCGTAAGAGATGCAGATATGTTTAATTCTCTTATATTCTGTTTCTTTCTTAGTCTCTTATCTACAAAACACATTTTAGTGGTTATTAAAGTATATAAGACTAAATAACTCGTTATGAAGAGAAGCATTCTATTGGAGTGGGACCAGATTGCCTAGAAGAGAATATCAAGTCTGCTCCTTCCTAGTAGTATGACATTTGACAAGACATTTAGGCTTCCTGTGCCTCAGCTTTGTGCATCCTTAAAATGAGAATAATAAAAGCAGTTGCTTTGTAGCATTGTTGTATTAAATGAAAGTGCATGTATTTGTCTGCATATATACATATATTTACAGCATTTAAAAATATTTTAGCCGGGCGTGGTGGCTCACGCCTATAATCCCAGCACTTTGGGAGGCTGAGGCGGGCGGATCCCGAGGTCAGGAGATTGAGATCATCCTGGCTAACACAGGTGAAACCCCGTCTCTACTAAAAATATAAAAAATTAGCCGGGCCTAGTGGCAGGCACCTGTGGTCCCAGCTGCTCGGGAGGCTGAGGCAGGAGAATGGCGTGAACCCGAGAGGCGGAGCTTGCAGTGAGCTGAGATAGCGCCACTGCACTCCAGCCTGGGTGACAGAGCCAGACTCCATGTCAAAAAAAAAAAAAAAATTATAAGATAATCATATTCTCACACAGCACTTTTCAGTTTCAAATGCATACAGACCACCTAGAAATTTTGTTAAAATGCAAACTCAGCAGTTGGGTATAGGGACCAGAGAGTTTTCATTTCTAACAAGTCCCCAGGGTATGTGAATACTGTTGGTGTGGGGGCTACACTTTGGGTAGCAAAGTTCTAACAAATGTGCTTAGCAGCTGACCCAGGTAAAGATGAAGGAGAGCAGAGCAGCAATTGGCCATGATAAACTGAGGCATTAAAATAACTCATGACAATCTGTCCTAAAGCCTCAGACACATTGTATTATATTTTAAGATACATAAAATTTTACCATACTGGAGTTTGTATTATAGAGACTTTGAGATAATTCTCATAGTAAAGTGCAGAAAAGCATTATAGAAAGTTTCGAAGGTCAGTACATATTTGCTTGATTCTTCAATAAAGAGACTTTCTCTTCTTTCTGTATATCTGTCCACACACACAAATGTGTACATGCGCACAAAAATCCACACATCTTATTTTTATTTATTTATTTATTTATTTATTTTGAAACGGAGTCTCGTTCTGTTGCCCAGGCTGGAGTGCAGTGGCGTGATCTCGGCTCACTGCAAGCTCCACCTCCTGGGTTCCCGCCATTCTCCTGCCTCAGCCTCTCGAGTAGCTGGGACTACAGGCACTGGCCACCACGCCCGGCTAATTTTTTTTTGTATTTTTAGTAGAGATAGTGTTTCACCTTGTTAGCCAGGATGGTTTCGATCTCCTGACCTCGTGATCCGCCCGCCTCGGCCTCCCAAAGTGCTGGGATTACAGGCGTGAGCCACCGTGCCCGGCCTTTTTCTGATAATTTTTATTTGAAAAACAATGCACTCCATTTATACGTCACCCATGTCATCTAGGTGAATATAAATGCCATTTTTATTTTAGGTGTTCAACTATAGGCAAGCTCTTCATTTCTAGGAAACTGATCAGAAGAATAACAGGGCAGATAGGGCATTCGCAAAGCAGAGTACCAGCTGCGCTGTCAACTAATCAAGTCAGCAAACATCTCTGCAGGTGAAGTCATTGTGATTCCTATTAACTCAAGCAGATTAAGAATTCTTCTGGATCATTGCTAGTGTTGATGTGTCAACTTTTGCAAACAATTATCAGACTGGGAAAGGTGAACAAAGGAAGCCAAGAAAGTCACAGGAAGTAGACAAAAAAGATGCAGATAAGTTTTCCATTGAATGTGGGGTGCTGGACTGTTTTATTTGACCACTTTTGCCTATATCCAGAAGAATTTGTTTGTTGTGTATGCAATTGAGTCATAGAAAAGAAACGTCCTGTTGTTAAAGTTCTCATAGTTTTGGGAAACATATTTGCTTAGCTATTCAATGTGGATATATTCTATGATAGGAACTTTAATTAGGTAACTGCTGATTATGTGTAAGTTTTATTTCTTTTTTTTATCTCATTGCTTACTTATATATCCTAGTTTAATTCCAAAGAGTGAAAAAATATTGACTGATTATTTGTTCTTGCATCTTTTTTAATTATCACCATTCATTTTCATTGCAATCTCCTTCTCCCAGTATGTTTTATGAGGCTTTGTGCCTTGAGTGTAATGGGCATAAAATGAAGGGAAGTCTATGTTTTTAGTATGCATGATGTTTTCTGAATATAGATGCTTAAGGAAATTGTAGGCAGGTGTGTTTTCATCTCTCACACTATGTGGCTTTTTCTATTCCATGGTAGGAATCAAAGATAGCCAAGTTAAGAACATTGTGGCTCATTGGAATTAGAACTTCATGCAGTTTAAAACTGATTATTTTATTTGTTTCAAATTATTTTAGCATTCTCAAATTAACCATCCAAAGTTTCCCCAGAGATGAATAGTTTCACATCTTACAATAGCACCAGCAATAATAAATATATAGTCAACATTTTCCTTTTTTCATATTTAAATGTACAGACTACTTTTTGAGATGTTAGAAAAAGTAGATTGATAATGTGTCATTGCAAACTTATAATCAGGCTTATTGTCACATAGGCATAAGCACAAATAAACATTCCTCCTCAAGGTGTGGAGGAATATTGAATATATTGAAGATGAAGCAAACTAACTCTCAACAGGAAGGAATAATAGTATACTTGGCATCTTTATAACTCCAAATCATCACGGAAGTAAAACATTTTTAATATTACATTTTTTTCTTGTGTAGACATGGCAGCACAATTTTGTTTTACTTCATCACAAGAGTGTTTCATTGCAAATTTTAAGAATATTTTTATAATTTTCTTTACAATGGCTGTATTACATGAGACCAAGCCATTTCATTGTAATATTTTAAGGTGATTTATTGCTAGTAACCACAAGGCAATATGCCATCTTTTATTAAAAAAATTCCACAGGAAGCATAATGACTATGTTTTTTAATCAATGCAATTTGTTTTAAAGGATTTTATCTTGAAGTTAGTAACGAAACTTCTGTACATCTGGAATGCTGAATGTCCTATCAGACTTCAGCCTGTGCTGATATATAACAAGTATAAATATATCTAATGAAGATAGTTTTAGGCAAATATGAGGGTTCTGGAAGCAATAATTTGAAGTTTTGAAAAATTACTATGGATCAAATGATAACGCTTCATTTGTATTCTGCTTTTTTGTCCTTGGATCTACGTTTTTACTTTAAGCAAATGTAAAAATGGCTGTAAAGAGATATAATCATTTTTGTGAAAAAGTAAATGGCCTTAAGCTGGTTACATGAATTAATCCTTCATGTCCTTTACTCCTTTCTGCTTTTGAAGGAAAGATTAATTCCGTTATCAAATTAACACGTGCACAAATATTTGGTACTGTATATTCAGTGGAATGAATATGATTAGAAAAAAGGGGACCTGATATACAGTCTAGGTTCTGTCAATAACTCTGTAACCTAGGTGACACAAACAAATGGAAAAACATTCCAAGCTCATGGATAGGAAGAATCAATATCATTAAAATGACCGTGTTACCCAAAGCAATTTACAGATTCAATTCTATTCCTATCAAACTACCGATTACATTCTTCACAGAACGAGAAAAAGGCTATTTTAAAATTCATATGGAACCAAAAGAAAGCCTGAATAGCCAAGGCAAATCTTAAAAAGAACAAAGCAGGAGGCATCACACTGCTCTAATTCAAACTATAGTACAAGGATCCAGTAACCAAAACAACATGGTACTGGTATAAAAACAGGCACATAGACCAGTGGGACCGAATAGAGAGCCCAGAAGTAAGGCCACACACATACAATCATCTGGTCCTTGACAAAGCTGAGAAAAAGAAGCAATGGGGAAAGAACTCCCTAGTCAATAAATGGTGCTGGGATAACTGGCTATATGCAGAAGATTGAAGCTGGACTGCTTCCTTACACCGTATACAAAAATCAACACAAGGTGGGTTAAAGATTTAAATGTAAAACCCCAAACTATAAAACCCTGGAATACAGCCTAAGCATCCATTCTCGACATAGGAACTGGCAAAGATTTCAAGACCACAAAAGCAAGTGCAACAAAAGCAAACATTGACAAATGGGAATCTAATTTAATGAAAGAGCTTCTGCACAGCAAAATAACTATCAACAGAGTAAACAGACAACTTAAACAGCATCTATAAGGAACAACTGCTAAATTACACAATTGCTTCTTAGGCAAATACAAGACAAGTAATTAACATTGTATTTTCAACTATGCATTTGAAATTTTATACATGTTTATAATTTCATATATTTGCCAAAAGTGTGTGCGTGTGTGTATATATATGTATATATACCAAAGATTCTAATTGAAGATGAATAGTGCATTTAAATTCTGGAAATTTTACTACCTTGCCTCTTGAGATACTGATAATGGAGAACTTCCAGAACAAAAGAATACAACGAATAAATGATAAACCAAAAATCACTAATAAAATACAAGAAGCTCATCTTAAATTAGTCTTAATTATTAATTTTCACCTAGATCTTCACCTTTAAAGTTTTCAAAACTCCTAGTTATTTTGTTTCAAAACATCATGAGTTGTTTCATGTGTCATTACTGTGTGTTCTGAGTATCTGTTTATACGTGTGTACTGGGATATGTGTCCGGGCATTTACGTTTTTTTGTTTGTTTGTTTGTTTGTTTGTTTGTTTTGTAGAGTGTGAATCTGCAAGTCATTTTATGCATATCTCCTGGGGGTTTAAAAATAAATCTCTTCTTTCTGCTAAATCAAGTTGTAAATATCTCGTTTAGTCTGCTACTACAGTAACTCATGAAAAGAGAAAGATTGCTTTTCAACATTTTACCTCTGTCCTCATTTTATGTCAGTGACTGCTGATTATATGTACTATTAGTGAAACAGAAATCAGCATGGAGCACTTAAGTTGCTTTTCAAATAAAGTTCTTCTTTCAGCATTTAGTTTCCCAGAAGGCTTTTAATCAAGGTTATGGGAAAGTCCATAAACTTTCTGCTGAATATTTAACAAGCTGGAAGTCACTGCAAATGTGTTTTTTCAAGGACAAGGGAAATGAGATTGCAATCAGGAAAATAGAAGACCTTATAATAAGCAAAGCTTTGTCTTCTGGATAAAATCTAACAAGAAAATCAAAGTGACTCACATTTTCAAGTTTCCTTGTAAGATTTAAAAATTTTCCTAGTTTGGATCATCATTTTCAAAATGGTAAATAGGACTGAGTAATTCATTTGAGTCCAATTACTATCTTATCTTTAAGAAGATGGTTGGAATGAGTTCTGCAAAATGGTGATAGCGGCAGAATATAAGAAGATGTCACTGAAGTTCCACTGTTTAATATTAAAAGCATAATTCTTTTGGATAAAAGAAATTTTATAAAATTTACAAATGTCATGTGATTACTATATATTTTGTAAATGACCTAGCCCACCCTCATCAAAGCAAAAACCTCACAAAACTATGTTTCCACTCTCACAGGAATCAAAAGTTATGAAAAGAGATAGGAACAGATTCAAAAATACTTACATATTGTATTTTCTTTTAACATGAAAGAAAATTGGAAGTTTCTTTCAACATTGTCTGTCTACTGAGAATGGTGACAAGGAGTAAAAATAGAAATGCATACTTTGGACTTTCAAAGAAATGTAAGGATATTTGGCAGCTTTAGTGTGGTAAGGGCAAGTTATGATCATGTGTATCATGCCTACTGTGTAATAAAAGAATGAATACATTTTCATTCTATCCTCATTTATATTAAAATAATCTATGTAGGGAAGTTAAGTCTTTCCCTCGATCACATAGAAATGTAGAGTAAAAATTTCACTCTTATCGCCTCTGATTGCTAAATCAGAAAAATTTATACAAGACATTTATCCTTACTGTACCTTCAAGTTTTGATATATAGTAAGAATATCCTACTGTTTGTTATTTATCTTAAAGTTTTATGTATGGATATAGAAACATTATTCTTTTCTGAAAAGAAAATTTTGACTTTTAAGGAAAAATTATATAGTAGGAGTTCAAATAGATTGCAACTTACCTCCTTCCTGCTTACATAATTTTGGAACTGTTCTAGCAGAGTTTAAGAAGAACTGTGAGGGGTAGGCAATAGGTTGGTCTTTGAGCTTAATCACTGAATTCCACTTCTCCAACCTGTGCATGAGTGAAATAAGCAGGTATTGGAGAAAGGACTTGGCTACATATTATGGAAGCCAACTCTGGTCTCTGCCACTTGGTGCAAGTGAACATATAACTGAAGAATTTTAAGAGACAATAATGGTTTGTTGTGTCTGAGCAATTTTCAATGCATGCAAATCATATTCTATATTTATTTTGTTATTGCCCCTAACACCTCCTACAAAGTAATATATATTGTAAGAATGGTGGGGGGTTGTGACTTGAGGAAGTACATATTCATGCGCCATCAGGTTTCCTCCTCTGTGTAATGTACACAATAATACTGCCTACCTCTTTGGATTATTTTGAGGGCCAAATGACATAAGCAATACAATACCCTTAACACCACATTTCACACACCTTAAACAATTTACTGTTAATAATGGATACTTTTCTAATCATATTCAAGCCATGAACTCCCTCCCCATAATAATAAACATTCATTCAAGGATTCACATAGCATTTCACAAAGTCTTTGATCACTTTGGAGATTCAGTTGTCTGACCTAAACAAGAAAGGCCATAGGTATTAGCCTATTACGTTAGAGGAAACTTCATTGACCATTTTGTCTTCTCAGGCCAATCCACTCATGTTAATAAGTGATTTCTCTGGTTGTTTTTAGAAGAGAATTGTTTAACAAAGTTGAATGAGTTCATGAGTCATATAGACAAAGCTTTAGTTGTATTTTTTTTAAAAGTAGCTCTTCTTTTGTTTCCATTGCAAAGAAGATTATATTGGCATTCAGAATAAAGAAGAAAATAAAATGAACCATAATCTCAGTACCAAGATAACATCAGTTATATTAAAAATAAAAGTATTAACATGTGTATACATGGTAAAACATTTAAACACCACTGTAAGATATGAAAGTAAAAGTTAGTGTCTCCCTCAGCACCTCTCTTCACTGCTCACAAACACCTCTTACAACAGATAATTTCTGTTAAAAGCTTTTTCTGGGCCGGGCGCGGTGGTTCACGCCTGTAATCCCAGCACTTTGGGAGGGCGAGGTGGGTGGATCACGAGGTCAGGAGATCGAGACCATCCTGGCTAACACAGTGAAACCCCATCTCTACTAAAAATACAAAAAATTAGCTGGGCGTGGTGGCGGGCGCCTGTAGTCCCAGCTACGCGGGAGGCTGAGGCAGGAGAATGGCGTGAACCCAGGAGGCGGAGCTTGCAGTGAGCTGAGATCGTGCCACTGCACTCCAGCCTGGGCAACAGAGTGAGACTCTGTCTCAAAAAAAAAAAAAAAAAAGCTTTTTGTGTTTACTTCCACCCAAAATTTGTATACCAACATTTATTTATATGCATATAGATGATTTTAAAATTATTAACCAAGTGAGTATTACTATACACAAGTGTTGATGTCTTGTTTTGTTTTTCACTTAAAGTATGTCTTGCAGAATTTTCTACATTAAAAAGAATAGATATATCTCATTATTTTAGCGGTGGCATGGTATTCTAATGACTTTGATGGACCATGACTGATTTAACCTGTTCATAACTATTTAGGTAATGTCTAGATTTTAGCTAAAACAGACAATGCTGCAATGAATATCATTGAGCAGAAATTGTAATGCTCTATTACTAGTCTATCTGTCATGGAAACAATGGAATTGTTGGATGAAAAGGAATGTGCAAGTTTTATTATTAAAATTTTCAATCATTAAGAAAAAAGACTGATAATACATAATTGTTTCTATCCTCTAATATTTTCAAAGATTACCATTCTGCCATGATTGTGTCATATCACCCTTTATTATTAAAAATTGAACTCTTGGCTGGGCACAGTGGCTCACGCCTGTAATCCCAGCACTTTGGGAGGCTGAGGCAGGTGGATCACCTGAGGTCAGGAGTTCAAGACCATCTTGGCCAACATGGTGAAACCGGTCTACAAAAAAAAAAAAAGAAAAAAAATCAGCAGGACGTGGCAGTGGGCACCTGTAATCCCAGCTACTTGGGCAGCTGAGGCAAGAGAATTGCTTGAACTCCGGAGGCAGAGGTTGCAGTAAGACGAGATCGCGCCACTGCACTCCAGCCTGGGCAACAGAGTGAAATTCCATCTCATAAAAAAAAAAAAAAAAAAGGAAAAATTGAACTCTCAGAGTTGTGAATACTCCTCTGTTCCCAATCTGCTTCCTCTCTCTCCAGAGTAACTCACAATTCTGAATTTGGTGTTTATTACCCCCAATTATTATTTTTTGTATTTTTATTACATATACTATACATTATAAATGGTGTAGTCATGTACAGACCTTTCTGCTGTTGACTCCTTTTGCATGTTCTTATTTATTGGCATATGTAAGTTTAGTCCCTCCACTTCCACTGTTTTGTAGTGTTTTGTATGAACATTTCACAGAAATTAGTTACCTATTGATATTTTCAAGTTATGTTGTTTACAATACTTGACCATAACAAAAACTGCTACAAAGAACAACCTTGTACATACTTTCTGTTGCTCATGTTTAAAGTTACTCTTGGGTATTTACCTGTTATTAAAATTGTTGAGTTGCATGTTCAACCTATCTGAAGTCTCTAAGTAGTACAAGAGAGTTGTTGCTCAACATCCCATAGCCATTTGACACCATATTTTAATTGTTCAAATGTGAAAATTGTAAAATGGAACTTCATTTTGTCTTTTATGTACATTTTCTAGTTTACTGATATGATTGAATATCTATTCAAAAATGTATTACTTATTATGTGTTTTTCTTCTCTTGATTAAACTATTCATAAATGTAGCTGATTTTTAAATTTGATTATTTTTACTTAATTATTCTTATATTCTTTACATAGTCTTGATAAAAATAATCAGATATGTGTATGGCATGTGTCATCTTTCAGTCTTCTATTCATCTTCTCTCTATGTACATTAAAACACATGTATTTCTAGATATTGTTAAGCTGCCTGACAAAAAGGGTAAACTAGTTTATAATCCCACTAAGTGTGTATGAGGTTACTCTTCCCCTACACTTTTGCAGATACTGGATACTATTAAAGTGTTTTTTTTGTTTGTTTGTTTCTGTTTTTTGTTTTTTGAGACGGAGTCTTGTTCTGTTGCCCAGGCTGGAGTGCAGTGGCATAATCTCGGCTCACTGAAACCTCTGCCTCCGGGTTCAAGCAATTCTCCTGCCTCAGCCTCCTGAGTACCTGGGATTACAGGCACATGCCACCATGCCAGGCTAATTTTTGTATTTTTAGTAGAGACGGGGTTTTACCATGTTGGCCAAGCTGGTCTCGAACTCCTGACCTTGTGATCCATCCACCTCGGCCTCACAAAGTGCTGGGATTACAGGTGTGAGCCACCTTGCCAGCCTTAAAGTGTTTTAATATTAAGAAATGAATAGATGAAAAAAATTGTCTCATTGATGCCTAGATATAATTTTCCATATTTATAAGTGAGACAGGGCATCTTAGCATGTTTTAACATGTGTTTATCAGAATAGTAATTTCAGCTACAGAAAATTCCCTTTATCATTATTATTTGAAATATAAGACTTTTGCAAATAACTGCAGTTTTTTCGTAAAAGCAGTTTGTCAATTTCATAGAGTTAGATGCATCTGAAATTAATTTGCCTTGTCAAGCTCATGTAGAAGGGGGAAGAAACACCACAAATGTCAGTGTTTGCCAAAGTTACTGGAATGCGTGTAATAAAGTGAAATGCTTCATTTATTACTATTGTTTAATGAAATAGTATTTGTTTTTTATTTTTATTTTCTTTATTTTATTTTTTGAGACGGAGTCTCACTCTGTTGCTCAGGCTGGAGTGCAGTGGCGCAATCGATCTCGGCTCACTGCAAGCTCTGCCTCTCGGGTTGACGCCGTTCTCCTGCCTCAGCCTCCTCAGCAGCTGGGACTACAGGTGCCTGCCACCATACCGGGATAATTTTTTGTATTTTTAGTAAAGACAGGGTTTCACCGTGTTAGCCAGGACGGTCTCGATCTCCTGACCTTGTGATCCGCCCGCCTCGGCCTCCCAAAGTGCTGGGATTACAGGCGTGAGCCACTGCGCCCAGCCAAGAAATAGTATTTTTTACTTTTATTCAAATCTATATAGAATTTATCTATATAAATGCCTGCTTAACATTAACATATTTTTAAAAATGTAATTGGCTAATTATATTTAGAATGATACAATTTAAGCTGGGAAGTACCAATATTAGATTAATGTGTGCTGTATTATATACTTTCTGAGAACTAGAGGAGGTGGTGGACAAGCCATTGATTGCTAATTTGAAATAAGTTTTAAAGTATTTTGGTGGAATTTATTTTGCTAGCATGACTTCTCTTGATTGAGGCTTTACTTATTTTAATCATGCAGGACCCATTTGTGAGAAGCTCTTTACAAAACCAAATGGATTTTTAGAATTAACCTAAATTATATGTCATCCAATAACATTCTTGATGTTGTCATAGTTCAGCAGAGGACAATCTTGTATCGTATCTCTGTCACATAGACATAATCATACCACACAATATTTAAGCTAGAACGTGGTTTGGCATTCTGTTTAAACACTCATCAAAATGGTAAACATTCCCCTCTCTTAATTGCTTTGTTAGGCTTCAAGAAAGAGAAAAATTATAAAGCACTATTTTCTTCTTGCTACAACCATTCATTCTACAGATAAATTCTATATTGGTGAATGGGCTATCTGGATTATGTGTATTATTGGAAGCATAACAGATATGTCATGTAGATGACAATAGCAGAAAATGTGATTTAGCTGAAATGATAGAGCTATGAAATGTTTTTCTTCCCTAGGTCTGGACTACACACAATTTCAAACCTTGTGGTTTATAAAATTGCAAAAGATGCATTATATTGAATCATGCTTTTGACTTATTGGGTAGAAAAGTAACAATGGCTAAACTCAAGTGAAGATTTGGTTCTTAACTGTATTTGATTCACATTTCTCTTGGTTATTTGCTTTACTCTACCTCATTTTGCTTGTGCTTATTCTGTTTCAATTAGTGGACTCTTAACATTTGTATTTACTAAAAAATCAATGCCAAGAAATTGCTTCTTTTAAGACTTATGCTTTGAAGTGTGAAATATTTAGCTTTCCAAAGAACTTTATAAGCCTATTTTTTTAGCATTTTAAAATAAGCATAGATTTATACATAGGACTGGTGGCAAAAAATGTAAACTAGAAATATGAATATAGTAATAATAGCTTTAATTACTTTTACAGAATTTAGAAGAATGTGTCTCTGTGGGAATAAAGATTTCTCCCTCTCTTGCCCCCCTCTCCCATAGTAGCATCAGTATAATTTATTTTTAAAGAAATATCTCTTATACATTTCAGTTTTTCCCCTTATCATTGTCATTGAGTAAATTGATAGGAAGAAACATAATTAAGGAAGGAAAATCTTATTTCGGAATTATAAGCAATTTTCTCTTCTCCTCCTATTGCTTTCTGGTAGGCATCTGTTCAGGTATTTAGCTGGAGATAGAGTGAATCACCTTTCTTAGTGCGTACAGGAAGGGGCTTTGCTTGTAGTCACACTGTCAATACTGATAATTACCTGCATAGCAACAAAAGATATATTCTTGTGATATTTTCAAAGTGAAATCGGTACTTCAGTGGTACTCTTCATGCAGAATTGCCCCTGTGGTACCAAGTTATTGGATTTTAATGCTGCACCTGTGTGAAAGGGAGAACCAGAAAGGATATAAAGAAAAGATACCTTTAAGGAAAGGTAGTAGTTTCCATCAAGAAACAAAGGAAAATATAGGATATTTTTAAAATCTAGTTTGTGATTATCATTAGTTTTTGCTGAATTGGCTTAAAGGATTTATAAGGCTGTAAATCCAGAAACTCAAGCGTAATATTTATTATTATAAAATATAGCAGGAAATGTTAGGAATTTAGAAGCTCATATTTTGAATCAACAATGCCAAAATATTATAGGGGAAAATGGAAAAATAAGAGAATTTGTATAAGTAGTAAAGACTGCTTTCTTGAGGCAGAAGGCAAAAGTGCCAACTGATGTTTGATGCCATCAAAGGATACTGGTCTTCTATTAAAGAAAACAATTTGTATCTTGAGGGTAAGAAAGAAGAACCTGCAAACTCTGTAAGAAGCAAAATATATTCATGTGGTATCAGTCACTAAGAAAAAGGCTTAATTTAATGAAAGCTATGTACATCCTGTTATTACTGGGGAAGTAAATAAAGTCAACAGATTACATTTAAAATAATCTCTTGTTTTCACTATTCCTGTTGTTTTGTATCACCAGTTTTTAAAGCTAATATAAGATATGAAGAAGAAATTTTTTAAAATCCAAATATATTGCAAGAGATTACTATCAGAGAAAGTTTGAGTAGGTCAATGCTATAAATACACATTAACGTTATATTTCCCCTTAGGTTGAATAAATTGGCTATCCTATGTTATTGTACTTTTAAAATTTTACTTTAAGCCCTGGGATACCTATGTTGAACATGCAGGTTTGTTACATAGGTATACATGTGCCATGGTGGTTTGCTGCACCTATCCATCCATCATCTAGGATTTAAGCCCCGCATGCATTAGGTATTTGTCCTAATGCTCTCCCTCTTTTTTCCCACCAACCCCCCAACAGGCCCCTGTGTGAGATGTTCCCCTCCCTGTGTCCATGTGTTCTCATTGTTCAACTCCCACTTATGAGTGAGAACATGCAGTATTTGGTTTTCTGTTCCTGTTTGCTGAGGATGATGGTTACCAGCTTCATCCATGTCCCTGCAAAAGAAAGGACATGAACTCATTCTTTTTTTATGGCTGCATAATATTCTGTGGTGTATAAGTGCCATATTTTCTTTATCCAGTCTATCACTGATGGGCATTTGGGTTGGTTTCAAGTCTTTGCTTTTGTAAATAGTGTTGCACTTTTTTTAAAGGGCAGGTAAGAGTTAACAGGAAATGGAGATTGGACATGCTGTTTCAGAGAAGTATAATCAGATAAACTGAAGGTAAACAAGGTATGCTATTGGTGTAAAATTTTGAGAGAGAAGAAGAAAGAGAGAAGAAGAAGAAAAAGAAGAAGAAGAAGAGGGAAGAGGAGTGGGAGGAGGAGGAGTGGGAGGAGGAGGAGTGGGAGGAGGAGGGGGTAGGAGGAGGAAGAAGAAGAAGAAGAAGAAGAAGAAGAAGCAACAGCAGCAGCAGCACAAGCAACAGCAGCAGCAGCGGAGGAGGAGGAGGAGGAGGAGGAGGAGGAAGAAAAAGGAGAGAGAGAGATTTCCCCGTTGCCAAAATAAGGATTTTGCTTTACCTTCAACTGCTTAAGCTAAAGGTCTTTCTTTACATGGGATAATAGTTCACTGTAACACATCTGCCTGCAGTAGTTCTCTTCCTTTTTTGGCTGTCAGAAGGTGAGACTTTGCTCTCACTCTATTGGCACCTGTAACAGTGATACCAGAAATGGCAACTTTAAAGTATGACGTAGTTGCCCAATTGTACGTCTCAGAACCTACTGAGGTGCTACACTGTCACAGGGGGCTTTAATTGTTGACAATTTAATTTCTAAAGATAAAAATTTGATGATCAAAATAAAGAAAATAGTATATATATATATAGATAAAGAGGTAGATAAATATGGTATAATTTATCTTTTTTTTATAAACCAGCATACCCACACTCTTGGAGTTTATCTTTTATTACCATAATAGGAGTTCACACAATCTTGCATCTATAGTACCTTCATTTAAAGATTTGTTTGTTGGAACTGCAAAAAGAATTATTTTCTATTAATTAATTATTACCTATTATCAATTTTTCATATGTTTCAAAAAACAGTCTCTCTCTCTCTCTGTGTGTGTGTGTGTGTGTGTGTGTAAATTTATTTTTAGGTAGAGAAAAAAGTAAGCATATTCATTCTAAGATAAGCAGCTAGAAGCTTCGTATGTACATGATCATATGTATATGTTAGGTGGTTCTCTGATGAAGATAGGTCTATTTCTCCTAAGAAATTGCTTTGTCTTTTGTTTTTGACAGCATGTATAATTTATCTAATTATGTTGCTTTATTTGTCTTGTTTTCTGTGAAGCACAGAGCCAAAATTGTGGCCCAAATAAAGCAAGAAGATTTGCAGTGCAAGCTGCTTCTTTCAAAGGGTCTGTGAATTCTTTTGGTGTTCTGGTATGTTCCTGTGGTGGTTCTTGGAGCAAACGTTTATGATGTGAGTCTCCACATGCTGTTCTGTCCTTCCAAGTGGGAGCAGCACATGAGTCCACCATTTTGCTGGATTATTTTTTCTATTCATTCTTTATTTATTATTTGCATTTCATTTTGGAAACCTTCTATTGACGAGTTTTGTCAATAGACATCAAGTCTTTGATTCTTTCCTCAGCTATCTCCAAGTTATTGATAAGGCCATCAAAGGCATTCTTCATTTCTGTTAAAAAGAATTTGGCAATCTTTAGATCTACATATATATATATTATTTTCTCAAGAGCTGAGCAAATTCTAATGGTATCTCTCTTTGAAAGGAATCAAATATTATTATTATTTGATGCACATATATTTCTCAAAAGGTCTTATTACCATAGATTGGTGCTGTTAGGCTTAGGTATCCATGGCTCCTCAACTCATAGTCTCTCAATACTATGATAATGTCAACTGAAGAATGATGAGGTTCATAAATTTGGAAAGAAAATCTTTATTTCCATAAGGGATTGCAGCCTGCAGAGTGGCTGTTGTGACAGGCTGGGAAGGCTAACCTCCAATCAGAAGCCAGAAACAAATACTTAAAGGGTCGGAAGAATAAGACATGGATTTGTGCTGAATGAAGTGGCCAAATATACATATTCAGTAAGCTATAGGAGGAGGCATGAATATTTATGAAAGAAGAAATATGTGTATGTACAACTGAGCTTTATGCCTCTCCATGGGATCCATGTTCAAAAAATGGCAGTGTTGGCATATGAGGGTGGAGTTTTTGGCCCTCTGACATTAAAAGATGAAGTAGAGGACACAAAAACCCTCACTGTGCATCCTCCGTAGACTGTCCAGAACCATCCCATAGCTGGCAGTCTATTATTAGGAAGAAGTGCTGGTCTGTTGTTTTGTTAAAACCTCAAAAAGAGGGAGCAATATCAGGTACTTGGTTAAAACTAGCAGTGCAGCAAGTCTCTTGAAAGGTTTGGTTTCTGTTTAATCCTTAGAGAAGAAAGCCTATTGGTGGTTAGTGAGGGAGTGAAGGATTATAATAAGGAATGACGCCTTCCCATTGAGTCATGGCCAGAAACTCAGGTTCCAAGGTTTCTTTGGGGATCCCTTGGCCAATAGGAGAGGTCATTCAATTGAATTATGGGCTTTTTTATTTTTATTTCTCAGTAGAATGGATCAGGCAGTAATCATTGTGGAAAATGTAGAAACTATGTCAAACTAAATGTTTAAGTACTACTACTATTAAGTAATAATATCAAGGTCTTAAATCATGTGCTTACCGTGTTCAAAGCACTAACATTTTATTCTCAAAACAAACATATGGGATAAACTTAACATCTCAAATTTAAGGGTTAGTAAACTGAAGCTTAAAGAGGTTAAGGAGGTTGTTCAATTTACACCATTAGGACATGATGGAACCAGTGGTACATGTGCCACCAATATCTGTCTTTAACTCTTATGTGATCCTGACACAAATATGTTTGTTTACAGATTCACCACATTGACACATACACTTTCATTGTGAATGGAACAAGAGGAAATAGAATTAAGACATCACAGACTGTTTCATAGAATCACTATTTAAAAAAAAAATTCTGTAGCGTTACAGCTTTCCAAGACAATCAGTCATTCTTAACCAAGAGTCACATGGCTGCACCAGTAACACTTCATATCTTGAGTCCTAGAATGCAATTCTTATCCAAAGGATGACATAAGAAATCAGAATGGAATTTCTATTCTCAGTCACATCCATTGGCCTATGAATTGAAAATTTCATTTTCAGAAGGTAATTATATTCTCTTCTCAGGATTTATCTTTGAGGACAGTGTATACTTCTTAATTTATTTTAGTACAGACTCTCATTTCTAATCAGTAATGCTAATTTGGAGAGAAAAGAAGGTTTTCTTTGCAAGCATGGGGATTTTGATAGAAACGTCATACTTTTTTAAACTTTCCTAGACAATTTCAGCTTTTGTTTTTTTCTCTGAAGCAGATGGTATTGAGTGAAAAGTTCTATAATGCATTCATCATTACCCATTCACTGCTCATTGAGATGAGAGAGTGATGTACTTCATCAGAGGAAAGTACTCTACTGTCTAACTTACACTACCACTTTCAGGAGAAACAGTTAACTTCCTAGAAGAGGTGGTTAACCATATATGGGTGAACATATGTGTGCCTATAATTTTCTCCTTTTAAAATAACTTTCAGACAATTGTGGACCTTTATTTCATGACATTAATGTACTTTTACATCATTGACTAACAAAGAATGTAATTTACAATTTTTATGTGAATGAGAACTCTAGTCCATCAATGCAATTACAATGCATCAATTATCCTTCCTGAATGTTAAGTACATCTCGCAAAAAATAGTATTTTTACTTTTACTCTGTATAAATGAAAAATTTTGAAACAGTCCAAAATATGTCAGTATTCATTTGCATTAAAATAAGAGGATACAGTGTAGGCAACTAGAAAATATTTCCGATAAAAATATTCTAGTGACTTTAAAGCTGAATTGCAGGGATTTTAAGAAAAGAAAAATAATAATTTGTTGTGTTTATAACTACAACAAGAGATATGTTTAACCTATTTAGTTACTTCACTAAATAGCAATCATGCAAATAAGAATTCGAGGACACAATTTAGACTGAATATATGTTTTAACTACCAGGTGAACTGGCACAAGTTGTGAATACCACAAATAAAATATTGGCATTCTATAATTCTTTTAAATTAATAGAAAAATACATTTTATCTTTGAAGATTTATATTATTTGGAAATAAAATATTTATAGTTATTTTTCACTTTGTATAATTGGAAAAATTGCCTTAATATGTGCTTATTATATGAGAGTGAACACTTTTTATTTCTCACTGTGCTGTACTGAAAGTCAAAGATTTGCTATTGTGTGTATATATGTGTGTGTGTTTGTGTGTCTGTATTTTCTTAGGTCAAATTATTAATATTTAGTGTGCAAAAATTCCTGGATATAGAAAGCAGCAGAATGATTATCAGATCCTGGAAAGGGTAGTGGCGTGATTGAGGAAGTGGGAATGGTTAATGAGTACACAAAAATAGAAAGAATGAGTAAGACCTACTAATTGATAGAACAATAGGGTGACTATAGTCAATAATAACTGTACATTTTGAAAAAAACTAAAAGAGTGTAATTGGATTATTTGTATCACAAAGGATAAATGCTTGAGAGGATGGATACCCCATTCTCCATGATGTAATTATTTCACATTGCATGCCTGTATCAAAACATCTCATGTACCCCATAAATATATTACACCTCCTACATACTCACAAAATTTAAAAATGAAAATTGAAATAAAAATTCTACATATCCAATTCAAAAGAGAAACAATGGAAGGCACATGTTTATAAAAAAAAAATCTCGGATTGAGAATGGAAATTAGAAAGTGATTCCCAAATAACTAGAGAAGTGGAGTTAAAATATTCCTAACACAAAGAAATGATAAATGTTTGAGGTGACTTTTACCCCATTACCCTAATTTGATCATTTCCCGTTCTATGCTTTTATCAAAGTATAACATGTACCTGATAAATGTGTGCAATTATTATATGCACATAAAAATAAAGAATAAAAAAGGATTACCCCTTTTTAAAAAAGTTAAATGTATAATATTTCTCTTTGAGTACATTAAAACAAGTGCTTTTATTTATTCTGATAATTGAATATGTGTTAAATATGAATAAAAGTTGTACGTTATTTATTGTGTTTTCAGGATCCAAGCCACTTTGGTGGCATTTTTTTTTTAGTTTAACATTATCTCATAATTATAACTTTCATATACCGGACAATTACTTCATTGCATGTAAATATACCTCATTGATTTTAACAATGACAGAGGTGGGTGGATGACTGTCAGAGTTGTTTTTCTTAAGCTATTGTGGTCCTCCCCTGAATGATGCTGTAACATGCATTATGCTTTGAATAAATGCCATCTGTAAACAAATGAGTGATTTGTTAAAAGAAAGGTAGCAATAAATGAAAATTCCGGCAGAAGTTAATGAATATTGTTAGTTGAACTGTACAATGCAAGTAAATATTAGTTTTTACATTTTATATGAGTAGACATTTGCAAAGTGTCAATCACTTTCTTTTCATGTATATTTTTTTCACATACAGTGCTAATGACCTAGCAAGCCTATAGCTGCTAAATCAGTACTATTTTTTTTTATTTCTGTTTTTTATAAACGCAGTCAGTATTAGAACAAAAGCTACATACTCTGTCTTGGTCACAGTTGACATGGAAGCCAAATATGTCTGTAATTGAATTATGAATCTTCTATAATAACCTTCAAACAAATCTTTTTATTACTTACAATAGTGAAATAGAAAGTTTTTCTAATTTTATTTCATAAAAGACACTTAGAGACTACTCAATAAGGATTTGAAGAGTGTCTTTCAATGTTCAGGGAGTCCTAATACACATGTAATTTTTGTTAAACTATATTTCTGCTCCTTGCTCACTCTAAAGGTAAAAATGACTGGTGGAAAAGATTGTGAAACTGTTATAGGCTATGAATATTGCAGAGGCTTAGCTAGTTGCCTAATGTGTTTAATTAGTATTGAACAACTGCAAAATCACTTTGGTTTATAGCCATGGTCACACACTTTTGTTTTCTTCTTTTCTTCCATTTTTTTTTTTTTTTTTTGCCCCTTTCCTCTCTTATGCAAAAGCCTGCTCTGATTTCACAAACTAGAAGGTTAAGGCTCGCATAGCCGACTCCTAGCAGATTGGTTTAATACATAAGAAGTATTCAGTTTGCTCATTTTTAGTGTAGGCCTTTAACCTAAGTAGATAAAGCATTTTATATTTTCAATATGACGTTAAATAACATTTGACTAATCTTTCACTGATATATATTGGTGTATACCTAAACTACTAATCACCATCAGATTTCCATCATGCTTCCATTGCCCCAAGCTAGGTCTCTTCTCTATCTACTAGTTATTCTATTTTTTTAGTTATTCAAATTTAACATCCTTACTATTACTAGTAGTTTCTACTAGTTTAGCAATGTGGAATAATTACTATTCAGTTTTGTTGCTTACTGAGACATAACTGTCAAATAAAGCAAATTTTTTTATTATCTGTAACAGCAGGTAATCATAAAATATAAACGGCCAGGTAATCACAAAAGTATGCATGCATTTCAAATGTATCATGCAGTCTTCTTCCTGGAGGCAACAGCAGATATTCTTGACTTTTTTTCCTAGATAGCATTTTAGTGAGAGTTTTGCTATGATTTACTTTGCCAGGAGGAAAAATGTTATTACAAATAAATGTCATATATACTAAATGCTTTGTATTGCCCCTTTTCATTATCTCCCACCTTGGACCTTTCAAAGAACTAGATTTTGATTTCATATTGTTTTCATTATTTTTCTGTTTTAAATTTTATTGATTTATGTTTTTGTTTTAGATAGACATGGTCTTGCTCAGTCACTCAGGCTGGAGTGTAGTGGTACGATCATAGTTTACTGTGACCTCAAACTCCTGGGCTCAAGTGGTCTTTTTCCTCAGCCTCTCGTGTAGCTAGGACTAAACACACACACCACTATGCCTGGTTAATGACTTATTTTTCTTCTTCTTCTTTTTGCTTGCTTTGATTGTATTTGCTGTTCTTCAAGTTTCTTAAGGTGAAAATTTAGAACATGGAATGGAGAACTGTCTTCTTTTCTAGTTTGTAGTATTTAATGTAATGTTCCCTCTAACCAGTGCTTTCGTTGCATCTTACAAATTGTGATATGCTTTATTTTGTTTTCATTCAACTGTGATTTCCTTTTGGCCTATGTACTGTGTAGAAATGTTTGTTTTCTCTCTCCAGTTGTATTGGGTTTTTTTTTTCATGTATTTCAAAGCTCTGTTTTAAGGTGTATATATATGTAGGATTGTTAATTCTTCTTGGTAAATTGATCCTTTTATAATTATAAAATTTCACTCCATATCCGTGTTTATATTCCTTGTTCTGATGTCTACTTCTGATATTAATATAGTCATTTCAACTTTTTTGCTCTTGGTTTGCATGGTATATCTTTTTCCATCTTTTAGCTTTTTTGTATGTCTGTTTTCTGTTTTTTTGTTCTTTTTTTTTTTTTTTTTTTGTCTTTTTTTTTCTTAGAGACAAGGTCTTGTTACGTTGCCCCAGCTGGCTCAAACTCCAGGGTTCAAGAGATTCTCCTACCTCAGCTTCCCAAATAGCTGGGACTGCAGGTGTGCACTGCTGCACCTGGCTAGCTATCTTAACTTTTATCCTACCTAGGTCTTTCTAGCTAAAGCAGCTTTTTTGTTCACGGATATAGTTGGGCTTTGTTTTTTTTTGTTTCATTTTGTTTTTTTAATCCAACCTGAAAATCTTAAAATACATGTGCTATAACTATTTATTTTCATGTATTTATTGATGTTATTGGATTTAATTCTACCATTTTAATAGGTGTTTCCTATTTGTCCCTTCCCTTTTCTGTTTCTCTCTCCCCTCCCTCCACCCTTTTTTTTTTTTTTTTTTTTTAAGATGATTCTCGCTTTGTCGCCCAGGCTGGAGTGCAGTGGCACCATCTCAGCTCACTGCAACCTCTGCCTCCCAGGTTCAAGCAATTCTCCTGCCTCAGCCTCCTGAGTAGCTGGGACTACAGGCGCGCGCCACCATACCCAGCTAATTTTTTGTATTTTTAGTAGAGACGGGGTTTCACCGTGTTAGCCAGGATGGTCTCGAACTCCTGACCTCGTGATCCGCCTGCCTCGGCCTCCCAAAATGCTGGGATTACAGGCGTGAGCCACCACGCCCAGCCTCTCTCTCCCCCTTTTCTTTTGAATTCCTTGGATTTGTTTTTCATATTCCACTTTAATATATCTGTTGACCTCTGACTATGTCTCCTGTATTATTTCTTAGTGCTTGCGCTAGGCCTGATAATATACATACCTAACCTTTCACAGTTTACTCAGAGTTATATTTTACTACCACAGTAAAAATGTGGAAGTTTTACCATGGAGTTTATCTTTTCCCACAAACCTTTTTGTTATAGTTGTCATATGGGTTACAACTATGTACTGATTGCAATGATCATACATAATTTAAAGAATTTAAGAAAAGAAAATTTAGTTTTATATTACCCATTTTTTATTATTCATCTTTCTCTTACTTTATTCCTGAAATTTTTTCCTACAGGCCTTCAAATTAACTTTTTATTAGTTACAACAATGAAATTGAATATTTAATTTTTTCTCTTAAGAACGAGATTTAATAAATTCAACTTCATGTAATTTTCCTTCAGCCTGAGATCTTTTGGCAGTGAGTTCTGTGAGTTTCCCTTCATCTACGAATGCCTTTCTTTATCCTTCATCCCAAGGAGGGTTTTTAATGGATATTTAATGGATATAAAGTTTTACATTAGGAGTTAGTTGCTTTCTTTCATCATTTTAAGATACCATCTCACTATTTTCTGGCCTTCATGGCTTTTAATGAGAGAACATTGGTAATTCAAATTATTGTTCCATTAATTATAATGAATTATTTTTCTCTAGCTACTTAACATTTTCTTTCTCTATTGTTAGAAGCTTGATTGTGGTGTATCTGGGCATTGATTTCTTTCAGTTTATCATGGTTGGGGGTTGCTGAGCTAATGAATATGTAATTTTGTTTCTCATCAAATCTGGAAGTTTTTGGTCCTAATTTCTTCACATTTTTTTTTATGGAGCAATCACTTTTTCTTCTTCCTGAGACGTCAAAGACATTTATTTTAAAACTTTTGAGATTTTCCCACTGTTTCCTGAAGCTCTTCTCCGTCTTTTTTCAATCTTTCTTCTCTCTCTGTTCTTCAGATTGGATAATTGTTATTGGTCTGTCTTCAAGTTCATTGACTCTTGCCTCTGTCATCTCCGTTCTGCTCTCAATCACATGATCATATTATGTGAATAGTTTATTTATCTGTGTTTTGTTTTTTAACTTTTAAGTTCAGGGGCACATGTTATACAGGTATATTGCATGCCATGGGGCCTTGGTATACAGATTATTTTGTCACCCAAGTAAAAGCATAGTATCCAATAGGTAGTTTTTCTTTGTGTCCATATGTACTCAGTTTAGCTCCCACTTATAGTGAGAACATGTGGTATTTGGTTTTCTGTTTCTGTGTTAGTTTGCTTAAGATAATGGCCTCCAGCTTTATTTACATTTCTGCAAAGAACATGATCTCATTCTCTTTTTATTGCTACATAGTATTCCATTGTGTATAGGCACTACGTATTTTTATCTGGTGTTCCATTGATGGGCATTTACGTTGGTTCCATGTCTTTGCTATTGTGAATAATGCTGCAATGAACATACACTTGCATATGTCTTTATGGCAGAACGATTTACATTCCTTTAGGTATATACCCAAGGATGAGACTGCTGGGTCAAACGGTAATTCTACTTTAAGTTATTTGAGAAGTCCCCACACTGCTTTCCACATGGCTGAACTAATTTATATTCCAACTAACAATATGTAACTCTTCCCTCTTCTCCACAACATTGTGAGTATCTCATTGCGGTTTTGATTTGCATTTATCTAATGATCAGTGATGCTGAGCATTTTTCATACTGTGCTTGTAGGTCACACGTATGTCTTATTTTGAAAAGTATTTGTTCATGTACTTTGCCCACTTTTTAATGGAGTTGTTTGTTTTTTGCTTGTTAATTTGTTTAAATTCCTTATAGATTCTGGATATTAGACCTTTGGAATTGTTTATTTTAGATATTGAATTTTCAGTTCTAAAATTTTTATTTGATTATCTTATAGTTTCTACTTCTGTGAAAGAAATAGAATGTCTACTTATTAGACAGTGATTTTAAGCAGCTCTTATATACCGGCTCAGTGAAATAAATGAACCCATAGAATTTCTTTTTTCTTTTTTTTTTTTTTTACATTTTATTTCCAGAGGTTTTTGGGGAACAGGTAGTTGTCAGTTACATGGATAAGTTTTTCAGTGATGATTTCTGAGATTTTGGTACACACATCACCCCAGCAGTGTACACTGTACCAAATTTGTAGTCTTTTATCCCTCACTCCCCTCCCACCCTTTCTCCTGAGTCCCCAGGGTCCATTGTATCATTCTTATGCCTTTTCATCCTCATAGCTTAGCTCCCAGTTATGAGTGAGAAAATATGATATTTGGTTTTCTATTCCTGAGTTACTTAACTTAGAATAATGATCTCCAATTCCATCCTGGTTGCTGCAAATGTGATTATATCATTCCTTTTTATGGCTGAATAGTATTCCATGGTATAAAACACAATTTATTTATTCACTGGTTGATTGATGGGCATTTGAGTTGGTTATATATTTTTGAAATCGCAAATTGTGTTGCTATGAACATGCATGTGCAAGTATTTTTTTCGTCTAATGACTTATTTTCCTCTGGGTAGATATTCGGTAGTGGGATTGCTGGATCAAGTGATATTTCTACTTTTAGTTTTTTAAGGAAACTGCACAATGTTTTCCATAGTGGTTGTACTAGTTTACACTCCCACCAACCATGTAAAAGTGTTCCCTTTTCACCACATCCACGCCAACGTCTATTTTTTTTATTTTTTATTTTATTTATTTCTTTATTTCTTTATTTTTTGAGACGGAGTCTCACTCTATTGCCCAGGCTGGAGTGCAGTGGCGCGATATCGGCTCACTGCAAACTCTGCCTCCCAGGTTCACGCCATTCTCCTGCCTCAGCCTCCCAAGTAGCTGGGACTACAGGCACCCGCCACAAGGCCCTGCTAATTATTTTTGTATTTCTAGTAGAGACGGGATTTCACCATGTTAGCCAGGATGGTCTTGATCTCCTGACCTCGTGATCTGCCCGCCTCAGCCTCCCAAAGTGCTGGGATTACAGGCTTGAGCCACCGCGCCCAGCCTGATTTTTTTATTATGGCAATTCTTGCAGGAGTAAGGTGGTATTGCACTGTAGTTTTGATTTGCATTTCCTTGATAATTAGTGATGTTGAGGCTTTTTTCATGTTTGTTGGCCATTTGTTTATCTTCTTTTGAGAATTGTCCATTCATGTACTTAGCCCACTTTTTGATAGGATTGTTTTTGTTTTGTTTTGTTTTTTCTGTTAATTCCTTTGAGTTCCTTGTAGATTCTGGACATTAGTCCTTTGTCAGGTGTATAGATTGCAAAGATTTTCTTCCACTCTGAGGGTTGTCTGTTTACTCTGCTGATTGTTTCCTTTGCTGTGCAGAAGCTCTTCAGTTTAATTAAATCTCACCTATTTATCTTTGTTTTTGTTGCATTTGCTTTTGGGTTCTAGGTCATGAAGTGTTTGCCTAAGCCAATGTCTAGAAGGGTTTTTCCAATGTTATCTTGCAGAATTTTTATAGTTTCAGGTCTTAGATTTAAGTCCTTGTTGCATCTTAAGTTGATTTTTATAAAAAGTGAGAGATGAGGATCCAGTTTCATTCTTCTACATGTGGCTTGCCAATTATCCCAGTACCATTTGTTGAATAGGGTATAATTTCGCCACTTTATGTTTTTGTTTGCTTTGTCAAAGATCAGTTGGCTGTAAGTATTTGGGTTTATTTCTGGGTTGTCTATTCTGTTCCATTTGTCTATGTGCCTATTTTTATACCTGTACCATGCTGTTTTGGTGATTATGGCCTTATAGTATAAAGTCAGGTAATATGATGCCTCCAGATTTGTACTTTTTGCTTAGACTTGCTTTGGCTATGCGGGCTCTTTTTTGTTTTCATGTATGAACTGGGGGATTTTTTTTTCTAGTTCTGTGAAGAATGAGGGTGGAATCTGATGGGAGTTGTATTGAATTTGTAGATTGCTTTTGGCAGCATGGTACCTTTCACAATATTGATTCTATCCATTCATAAGTGTAGAATTTGCTTGTGTTGTCTGTGATTTCTCTCAGCAGGAACACAGAATTTCTATTGGCAAATGTTTTTTTTTTTTTTTTTCCCTTGAGAATCTCTCATATTTTCCTGAGTGTTTTTATGTTAAATGTTATATAGTATAGCCTCTGGGTTCTATTTTAATCATCTGGATAATGCTGATTTTTTTCTTTATTTGTTTAACCAGCAGTTGTTCTAGTATCTGTTAAATTTTTAAAGGCTTTCCTATGATGTCTAGATTAATCCAGTACATGCATGATTCAGGGGATAATCTGAAGTTAAGGTTTTAGGTTATATCATAGTTCAGGTTTCAAAACCCCTTACTCTCCTGCTTTGGGTCTCTCTCTGGCTCGTGCAGTTCGTAGGGGAACCTGGGATTTGTGTGGGTTCACATAGAATTATGGAGTCCCTTTAGTTAACATTTCTGTTTCTAGGACTGCTGCTACATTCTCTGACTCTTTTCTGGTTCCTCTATGCATTTTCAACTGAAGTTCTAGCTGTCAGCTCTATACCTCTGTTGAGCTTTGCAAAGGGAGCTTACATTATGGACAAATCTGTGAGACAAAGGGAAAAATGTATGAGGAAACTCCTCCCTGAATGTGTTGCTTCTCTATGTTTTGACTCTTTTTCTAAACCTGCCTTCCTTTTGTTTACCTTTCAGAGTCCTCGGGTAGTTGCCTTTTGTATATTTTCCAGAGATTTTAGTTATAACAAGTGGTATATATGGGCTATACTGGGCTTACTACATTTTGGACAGAACTGCAACCCTCCAAACATGAGGTGCAGCTCAGCTGATGCTTATGTTTATGAGCACAGAGGAGGTTTCTCTGGGCTTGAGACCCAAACCTTTGAGAAGCAGATGCTGGCTAACTGGTAGTGGTATCTGTGAGGGAAGTGTAATCTGGCTGGTTCTAGAAGTGTTGGAAAAACTGCAAACTGATTTCAGCAGTGGCTCCTGGGACAAACTGTCATTATCAGCATAAAAAAAGAGTCTGAGATCACTCTTATAGGAAGATTTTGAGCAAAGAAGTGGCATGATCTAATGTATGTTTTAAGATGGACAACTTGATTGCTATTGGGAAAACAATAAATGGGACTGGAGCAAAAAGAAGGAGACTACTTAGAAAGCTTTTGAAATAATGTAGGTGAATTACAGTTTATACAAGGATCATAGCAGTAGATGTGGCAGATATTTGTCAGATTATAGATGTGTTTTGAAGATACAGCCAACAAAGTTCCCTAATATATTGTATGTGTGATATGTGTGTATCCTTCTTTAATAATAATGAAGGAATCAAAGGTGACTCCATTTTTTTTCACCTAAGAAAATAGAAGTTTGCATTTTTCAAATTAGAGACGGTGAAGACTTGGGAAGAAGAAAGTTTGGAGTTTAGAAGAAAAGGTTGCAGGGGAAGATTGGGTTTGTTGTGCCTTTTTCTCATGTAAATAGAAGCGTTATGTAGACATTTAGATATACAGGGCTGTATTTTAGGAGAGATGTGTTGGCTTGGAATAAAGAGTATACAAATGGGGTTTTAAACCATAAGAAGGGATGAGATCACTTAGGGTACGAGTATAGATGGAGAAGATGAAAAGTCTGGGTACTGATCCTAAGATATTTCAACTTTTAGAAATAGAGGAGGTAAGAAGAAATCAGCTAAGTAGACTGAGAAGAGGTTAGTATGATGTAAGTGAAAAACTAAACCAATGGCAGATCAGAAGTCACATGAGAAGCTATTTCAAGAAAGGAGAAGCATGATCAACAATGTCAAATGTAGAGTCTAGAAAATGAGATCTGTGAAGTAAAATTAGATCTGACAAATAACTATTTGATTTTAGCACCACAGAGGGTTATTTGTGACCTTGATAAGAGAATTTTCAGTGTAATATTGGAAGTGAAAGTCTGGATCTAGTAGGTTCAAGATGGAAAGGGGAGCAGAGAAATTGTATGAGTTCAAGGAAATATTTTTCGGCGAACAAACATAGATTTCATTTGGATTAAAAATGTTATTAATATGCTGGTTCTTTCAGCCACTGTATTTTTTTGTTACTATTAAGCTATTAGACAATCAATAGATACCTATTAACCTCAAAGTATAATAGAATTGACCAAAATGTTCTGCTCTTAATAAATAGAGCGTAAATAGTATTTATAGAGCTAAGGACATTTCAGTAGTTCTAGACTTCAGGCATTGCTGCAAGCAATTTGAAACATTACTGTCCTGTCTTTAAAAAACAATGCAAGGTAGAGAAAGAGAGCAACCAGAGTTGACTAAGAAATGCATTTTCTTCAATGTCATGAATATTGTAATAACAATTTGTCCTGCATTATTTTTGGACTACATTTTTAGGACTGATATGTGTGTTTCAAATTAAGGAAAAATTTGCATCAAACTATGTTTTCATTTAGATGACAAAAACAAAGATAATGAATAATATAAAGGCACAATTTTAACAATATAATAACTAATATCAATGCTTATTGTTGCATAAAATAATACTATTTTAGGAAATTATTAAAATAAAACATTTATATTCATGAATTTGAAAATATGATGAAATGGCAAAAACAGGGTATTGCATATTTTTAACAAGCCCTTTAAAAATAATATGGTATCTCATAATCTAAGCTGAAAATACTAGAGGAAATAGTATAATTTTATTCAAAAGCGACCTTGGAGTTGATTTTATCCAATGTTCTTCCTTTATAAACATAGCAATTTAGATGCAAAGTATATAATGACCTGCCCAAGGTAGCCTAACTAATTTGGACAATGTTTGGTATTCTGTGGTGTTCAGTACTATTGCCACTTTACTATTGAGAATTATGTTAGAGAAGCAATTGAAACATATGCAGAAAACGTTGCATTATCTTCTTTCCTCTATCCTCCCCTTCACTCCCTGCCTTTCTCCTTTCCTTCTTTCCCTTCTTTTCTCCTTCCTCCAGTTTCAGCTTTATAAAAAAATTTTCCTCTTCTTAAAGAAAGGAAAACTTAAGTGTTAGTGAAGTGGGAGAAAGTTGAAAAAGGAGAATTATTTTAGTAGCTTCCCCTATAATTATTTACCTTCATGCCTATGCACATGCACACACATACCTAAAACCATTTGGAAGACATAATCCTAAAAGCATTAAGTTTCCAAATTTTTTCTAGTTTAAAAAATAACCTCTAATATTGTATCCTGGGACAGAAAGCAATAACAGTAACCATGCTTTACTAAATAAATCAAGATTTATTTAATGAACTTCAGATTAATCATGTTCCGAGGTTTCACTTTTCTGTGGGCTATTGACCAATATAGCAAAAATTTAGTGTCATATGAGTGCAGACAGGCACAGTTTTAAATTCTATTTTTCATAGTTACTAGTTTTTTAAAGTTTGCAAATGATTTAACACCTCTGATCCTTAGTTTGCTAATCTAAAATATAAGGGTGATAATAATGCTTATTTTGTAAAGTAATTGATAGCTGTACATGGTACACCTGGTATAGTATAACTTCTCATAACCGTTAATTATTTTATTGCCATTATTGCTATTAGTACCAGTAATAACACTCTTCCAATGGAAAATATTTTTCTGAAAACTCATAAATATAATAATATTCATTGTTTCAGAAATTAGCTAAAAGTAGGACCTATGAAGTATTATGGTGCTTGTTAACATAACATGTAGTTAGTGAAATCACCAATAAATGAAGACATGACATATAATCTAAATTATATTATATTTGCATAGTCTAAATTATATTATATTATGTATGGCATATGTCCATACTCCATCCTAAGAAATCCAATTCTTTTAATAATTGTAATAGAATTGATTGAGCTTGCTATTAGAGTGTTTAACTGTACTCTTGAAATGGGTTTTACTAAAAGAGATATGGAAAAATTTATTTATGAGCTTCAAATGAGCATCTAATCTACTAATGTCATTGTAATTTCTCATACAAGTGTACAAATGATAGCGCAGCATCTCTTTCAGGTGTTATATTCAGAATCATAATAAAACTCTTGCAGAATATATGTGTGCATCAAAATGAAATGACAATGAATTTTCTTTTGAAATTGATAGCACGTATTAGCATAAATTGAACTGTGCAACTGTGTCCATAACAGGCTGAGTGATGTAGCAGTTGATTGCTTTGTACACATTCTTGTGTTTTGCCTTCCGTTTTCCTTGCTGTGTGTTATTCTCTCTTCCGTCCCACCAAGGTAAGAGTAAATTTTTCCCTTCCTGGCTTTATTGCTTGAAGATAATAGAGTAAGGCAGGAGCATGTGCAAGGCAAAAGTACCTCTTGTCATCATTGCCCTTTTCCGGTGTCCCTCTTTATTTCCTTCTGTGTCTTTGATATTCCAGGCAAAACTCTTTTATAACACTTCATGCCATGGCCCCTTCCAGCTACAGATAGGACAGGTGGTTGAATGGCTAGCACTCCATGAGCTTTATTCATGTATATTTATAAAAGTGCAATTTCTTTTTCTTTCTTTCTTTCTTTCTTTCTTTCTTTCTTTCTTTCTTTCTTTCTTTCTTTCTTTCTTTCTTTCTTTCTATATTATAGCAAACTCTTGTACATTTACTTACTTATTTTCTTTCAGTGATCATGCTA
This sequence comes from Homo sapiens, assembly GCF_000001405.40. Classification (NCBI taxonomy): domain Eukaryota; kingdom Metazoa; phylum Chordata; class Mammalia; order Primates; family Hominidae; genus Homo; species Homo sapiens. The sequence goes on from NC_000024.10 coordinate 5,541,818, forward strand.
GTATGGTTGTACTATCTGAAAATCTAGCCTTTTAGCTTCCTAGATGATATACTTAATATGACTAAATAAATCCAGCCTGTACCACAACTGTCAAAACACCTGGAAATTTATAATTTCACCATCTCTTCAGAGGAAGAGAGCTTTTGTGACAAATATGGTAGGGTGAATACGGAGCAGATAAACCCACATACTCTGACTTTCAATAAAGCAAGAGGGGGTAACACTTCATAGAGACCAGATACCACTCTATCAAGGTTACTGAATGGACTATGTCCTGTACCAGATGTGATGCCTTAATGTGACCAAATCCATTCTAGATGCCTCAAAGCTGGTTTTTTTGGACCTGCATTTTTTTGTGAAAAATAAAATGCTAACTTATAGGGAAAATGATAACTAATTTTCTTGGCAGTGGTCAATAACTGGAGCTAGCATAAATAGCCATTGGATTTATTTAGGAGAAGTTAACTCAGAATATAAGTGGCTTTCCCCTTCTACCTGTATCATAAAGCCTACCTTGACCAATGAGAAATCCAACAGTATTTGAAAATAAACTCCTGAGAACATAGAACGCAAACTAAGATAAGCAAATTACAGTTGTTATGCTCTCAATTGGCCTATAAAAATAAACAGTTTGAGAAATCTGTGTCTCCTACAGAACCACACTGACCAGATAGCACAGATGAGACAGCTAGCACCCTGATCATTAATGTCACAGGTAATTTTGTTGTTGGTTACTAGTATCTGCCATACATACCCTTCAGGAATTAAATGGGCCATATTTGAAAGCCAAGGTCAAGGAGTGAAATTTTAAAATAATAATCCACCCCCAGCTAACGAAAAGCTAGGACAGGTAGTGTTTTCATTGCTTTTGTATTCAGGCCCTTCTCGTAGTATGCTGTGCCTTATGAGGGGAAGAGAGACCCTTGATTTTCAAGGAGGGTGAGTGGGTGGGAGTGCTCCTATGAGGGATGTATATCATGACAAATAATGGGCTCTTAAAAATTACACCTCCTTACTACCCTGATTCTCTGAAGCCCATAGCGGTGCCATGCATAACCTTGTTGAGAATTGCTGCCTAGTGAGCCTCACTGACAGGTAATAGTAACGCATTCAGGTTTGTTGATAAGGAGAAAAGGTTTAGAAGTAATTGATAACTTTTCTTCCAATACAAGTTTTCTTAAAACTTCTAGTATGTTGTTAAACAACAGAAAAATAAGCGCTCTGAGTCTTGGGAGATTCTGTCTGTGTACAAGCATGAACTATGCTCCATATGAGAACATGAGCCTTGTCATCTGCTTTAAATGTCACTTGAGAACAGTTATCAATGACTACTTTCCCAGAGTTAAAATTAATAAACTTGAGCTTATTGTATTGCAAGCTTCTTTAGGATTTCACCCACTGTGAAAATATCCTTTAAATAACATTTTACCAAACTTCAGGCCTTCTTGTAAAATTTTGTGACAGTTCATCTTAATATGCATACTATTTCTGTTCTGATTCCATTTTTGAACTTTTGTACTCTATTTTTATCTGTAGGATGGAGATAATGCTAGATAAAATTCAGAACAAAAGTATTTAATTTGAAAAATAACTGTTAAGAATTAATACTATGCAATTTCCCATGGCAATTGATTACGTGTTTGTTCAGAAGTTTGGCACAGTTGCTTGATTAAAATATTAATTTTCCAATTTCAATTGAGCAGTTTATGAATTTTACTTTATAGTGTTTACTTTCTCTGATAATGTCAATGTTTTTCACTAATTATGTCCAAGGGTGAGCTACCTTGGCCAATAGAACAACTTGGTTTCAGGTAATTTGTTCTTTTCAGTGGTTGTAAATGTATTGGCTATGTGGTTGAACTTTGACCATTTCTCTGACAATAATTTGCAACCTCCATGAGATCAGTCATAAATCCATAGTCAATTATGTGTTAGAAAATATATTAAAAAGCCTCAGAGGAACAAAATTATGTCATTTCTGTTGTGGAAGATTGGTTTAAAATAGGTCTTACAAATATTATGAAAATACAACTTACTGTAATCATACTGCAGTTTGTCATATGTGGTTCATTGTTATGAGGCAGTAAGGTGATGGCAGAGGGAGCACTATATATAGCAAATAAATAAAAATAAATCAGGTTTACAACCCTGTTTGCAACCATCTGTAATGCATGGTAGCATATGTTTTATAGTTTTATTGAGAGAATACATCTTTTAATTCTCAAAACTTTGAGTTTGAAAGCTCATCTCTGATAGAAACTAATGGTTGAATTACAAGCTAAAGTGAATTTCATTTTACTTATTCTTCTAATCAGTTTACAAAGTGCAGCTTTACATGCAGGAGGCATTCTTCCTTTTCTTTTTTTAAAGGATGAAATGTAAAAGAAAGCTTACCTCAACTTTACTATACAATATTGTCTCTTGGAAATGAAAAGTGCAGGATTTCTAACAGTTTCCTTCAAGTTGTAATTGAAAACAGTAAATTGTCTCCATATTTTCTTTAATACCTGTAAGTCTCCATACGTGTGAAGAAAATGAATTGATATTTTGTGTGGTAGTAGTAATACATTTATGAAATTTATTTGTAGACAGGAACTTTCCATTGAAGATATCTGACTCTTTTCATAGTTGTATTTTGAAAAGGGGTATTTTTTTCCCTAGATGATAATGCTGTGTTTGAATTAACACTATTATACAAAGGAAGTGTGAAGGACTTACAAAATTGCACTGGAGTTTAAGACTTAAAATAGAACTCAATTTTTGTTTTTGACAAGTTTACTCACACGTATAAGGAGGTAAGGGGAAAAATGTAGTTACAAGTAATCAAAGCATTTGAAAATGTGCAGAAACTAAAGCTATTATTTTGGAGTGGGTGGGGAGGGAGAAATGGGAGTATTTCTATTATTCTATATCATGTCTAAGATACCTATTAATTTAAACCTCAGTAATCTTAATCAGATTATCTTCACATGAGATGAGAATAAATTCTCTACCTGAAATTCTCCACCTTACAATATAGGATCAAGGCAAGAATTTCGGAAGCTACATATTGCTAAAAAACTGAATTATCTCTCTGTGTATCATCCATATAGAAATTAATGAGCTTATATCTAGAAGCTCATCTTTTTTTTACTCCTCTGACAACTTAGACAAGGTTAAAATCTTAAACAAATTTTAAATTCCCTTTAAAGAAACACTATAAAGGAAATACTACTTCTAACTTGGCAATTAAATTTTCATTAACCTAGTAATTTTTACATATTTTAGTATAAAGGACAAAATGATCTGACAATACATTTACTTAACATTTGATTGCCTCAGAAACGCACCACCCAAGAAATATGAATAAAAGGATTCCTCAAACAGTAATAATGAATTGACCATTTTATCGTAGTTAATGATCCTTTTGCATTTTTATTACCAGTATTGTCCTTGTTATTTTCTTTTTTCTTCCTTTGTAGCCTTCATTTCATGGTCTTTTAAAATTGCATTGTCATTTAAAACTTTTTAAATGATTCCAAATAATATGGCACCATTCTCTTAAAGTTTCTAATGATTAGTAATTTCTACAACCATCTGTATATTTATACTGGTAGCTTTCAACAGAAATACCATTTAGATTAGATTAAAAGATTTCATAAATTAGGTTATGCACATCTAATTTTACTTTATAAAATATATTTAAAGATAGCTTTGCATTTTAAAGTTTTATTCTCCAGCGTATGATATTACAAGATATGAGTGACATCAAAACCACCTCTTCAAAATTGAAAAATTTCATCCTGTGGATTAATAAATGTTATGTGGCTCAAAATGCCTTCTTTATTTGGCTGCATTTCCCATGGTAGGTAGTTCAGAGTTTCATATCAAGTAGGAGTTGAGTAAATACTTGTAGTGTATGTATGGAAAATAGTTGCTAAATAAATTCTACCAGAAAATAACTGTGATTTCCATGGGCACTCTGTTAAAAAGGGGGAGGGAGGGTAGATATTTATTTGTTCATATATATGATAGCTAAATAAAGTTAAAATATATTTTTGACAAAAATAACCACTCAGTATATTGATAGCATCATTACAATTGTTTTTTTACTACTGGCTATGAAGTTTTATAATTAGAGCTCTGAATCATTAACAAAATCCACAGGAAAACCTAGTGAACAAACTTTCATAGGTTTTCAAAATTTATATTTTTTATTTTTATGTTTTAAATCAATTAAAACTTATTTGTGAGCTCAATCATCTTCAATACAATTTTAGTTGAGATATAGAAAGTCATGTTGTATTACTCCAAAGCATACTGTAAATCCATTAATATAAATCTGGACTTGGCTAATGTAGTTTAGTTTAACAAGGAATAGACAATAAATGAACTACCTTAGTTTCTGCAATAGAAAGTGGTGGAGGGGGGATTCATAGTGGTGTTTTTTGTTGTTTGTTTTGCTTTTTGTGTCTTTGTTTTTAAAGAGCTATTATTGTAATTGCTACTAGGGACTATAAGTCAACAATAAACTTATTCAAAAAAAGTTTTATAAATAATTTGCTGTTTTAAAGCTTCAGTATCTTGTTCCTGCATCGAGCCTGACCCAGCAAATAAATATAGTGAGGAAATGAATAGTTAGCATATAAATAATTCCTATTATTTGCAGTGATAGTAATATTAAACAGTGTTCAACCTTCTTTCCTGGTTGCTCCAACATTTTGGAAACATATTCTTGTGGCCTACACTCACAGTGTGGATCACTCACCCTTTAGGATTATTAACAGAAAGTCTTATGAACATATGAAGGAGATGAAAGGCAGCTGGAAGAGGTCCCATATGCTCTATTCCTTTCTCTTAGATTTTATGCTCTGAGAACATCTGTGTGAAGAGTAAAGTTGACATGGTGTTGCCAAAATGTCAGTGTTATGGGACTTGTAATTGATTACAAAAATGACCCTTAGTGTAGAATAGTGTAAAAAACATGAGGTTGGAATCAGTCCTGAAAGTGAATCCTGATTTTCTTATAAAACGGATATAACAGAGGGTAGATGTGCAGGACAAATGATATAATGTATGTAAAGCTCCTTGAATAGTGCTTGAAGTCTTTTACTTGAACAGTAATGATAACTATTGTTCTTGTCTTCATTTTTGTTGATATATCAAGACTTACAGTATGGAAGCAAATTGACACGTGCCTGTCCTTTCATAATCAAAAAGCATTAGTGATGTGACTTGTGAAGCAGTGTGAAAAGGTTCTGAACACACAGTAGCCTTCCTATAAGCAGAATACCAAAAGCAAACTCACTTTGCCTAGAGTAAGCTACTTACTTGGGATCCAAGGGGGATTATTACAATTCAAGGTCAGGTCCATTATATTATTTTTTCATCTTCTAAGATCAAAAAGCATAAGCACAAGATCCTTATAGATGTATTTTAACCTAAATTTTATCTATCTATCTATCTATCTATCTATCTATCTATGTATCTATCTTCCTATTTAACAGATTTTCTATTTGTACATTCATGCCATAGTGTGCAAAGACTTTTGCCATTTACCCATATGCTGTTTAACACTTGGTTTAACAAAAAGAAGCTTAATGAAAAGAACACAAATGAACTATCTTTCATAACTATCAAACATATTTTTCACTAATCTTAGTAAGATTCTATAATTACATGATACTACTTTTTTCATTGACATAGCTTAAGAGAAGAAAAGACAAAATGTAAGTATCAGTCTCTGGCAGACTATGTTAAATATGTTTACTCATAATGAATTAAATTTATAGGGTAAAGAAGAAGAGTGAATTTTTAAAAACGTATATTCACTTAATGAATACCTGAAGTAATGATGTACAGCCACACTCAAAATTTAAATTTTCTTTTCTTTTTAAGAGACAAGGACTTGACTGGTCACCTAGGTCGGAGTGCAGTAACATGATCATAGCTCACAGTACCCTCCAACTCCTGGGCTTAAGAGGTCCTTCTGCCACAGCCTCTCAAGTAGCTAATTTTTTTTTATCATTATTATTCTTTGTAGAGACAGATGTATTAGTCCGTTTTCATGCCCCTGAAAAAGACATACCTGAGACTGGGGAATTTATAAAGAAAGAGAAGTTTAATGGACTCACAGTTCCACATGGCTGGGGAGACCTCACAATCATGGCAGAAAACATCCAGAAAAGAAGTCTATCGACTCAATCTACACTGAAGTTAAAGGAACACCCACACACACAAATGAGGAAGAACCAACACAAGAACCCTGGTAACTCAAATGGCCAGTGTCATATGTCCATGAATGACTGCATCAGTTCTCTAAGAAGGGTTCTTAACCAAGCTTAGCTGGCTGAAGTGACAGACATAGAATTGAGAATATGGATAAGAACAAAGATCACGGAGATTCAGGAGAATGGCAAAACCAAATCCAGGAAAACTAAGAATCATAATAAAATGATACAGGAGTTGAAAGCCGAAATAGTGGAATAACAGCAGAATAGACCAACATGAGGAAATAATCTCAAATCTTGAAGACTGGCTCTCCAAAATAAGACAATTAGACAAAATTAAGAAAAAAAAGAATAAAAAGGAATGGACAAAATCTCTGAGAAATATGGGCATATGTAAAGAGGCCAAATCTACTAATCATTGACATCCCTGAAAGGTATGGGGAGAAAGCAAACAACTTTGAAAACATATTTCAGGCTATCATTCATAAAAATTTCCCCAATATTGCTAGAGAGGCCAACAGTCAAATTCAGGAAATACAGAGAACCCCTAAAAAATCAGACACAAGAAGATCATCCCCAAGAAACATAATCATCAAAATTTCTGAGGTCAAAATAAAAGAAAGAATGGCAGCTAGAGAGAAGGGGCAGATCATCTACAAAGAGAATCCTTTCTGGCTAACACCAGACTTCTCAGCTGAAATCCTGCAAGCCAGAAGAGATTGGGGGCCTATATTCAACATTCGTAAACAAACAAACAAACAAATTCAACCAACATTTTCATATGCAGCCAAACTAAGCTTCCTAAGGGAAGGAGAAATAAGGTCCTTTTAAGATAAGCAAATGTTGAGGGAGTTCATTACCACCAGACTTGTCTTATAAGAGATCTTGAAGGAGCACTAAATATAGAAAGGAAAGACTGCTACCAGCCTATATAAAAACACACTCAAATACACAGACCAGTGACACTATAAAACAATCACACAAACAAGCCAGCATAATAACCAGCTAATAACACAATTACAGGACCAAACGCACACATATCAATACCAACATTGAATGTAAATTGGCTAAATATCCCACTTAAAAGGCACTGAGTGACAAGCTCCTGCATAGCAAAAGAAACTGTCAACAGAGTAAACAGACAACCCACAGAGTAAATTATTTTTTGCAAACTATGCATTCAACAAAGGGCTAATATCCAGCATCTATAAGGAACTTAAACGAATTTATAAGAAAAAAACAAACAACCCCATGAAAAAGTGGGCAAAGGGCATGAACAGACACTTTTCTAAAAAAGACATACATGTGGCCAGCAGGCATATGAAAAAAATCTCAATATCATTAATCATTAGAGAAATGCAAATCAAAACCGCAATGAGATACCATGTCACACCAGTCAAAATGGCTTTTATTAAAAAGTCAAAAAATAACAGATGCTGGTGAGGTTATGGAAAAAAAGGGAACATTTATACACTGTTAATGAAAGTATAAATTAGTTCAACCATTATGGAAAGCAGTATGAAATTCCTCAAAGATTTAAAGACAGAACTACTATTTAACTCAGCAATCCCATTACTGGGTGTATACCCAGAGGAATAAAAATCATTCTAACATAGAGGAACACGCACACAAATGTTCACTGCAGCACTATTCACAATAGTAAAGACATGGAATCAAGCTAAATGCCCATCAATGGCAGATTGGATAAAGAAAACCTGGCACACATGAAATATTATGCAGTCATACAAATAATGAGATCATGTCCTTTGTGGGCACATGGATAAAGCTGGAGGCCATTATCCTTAGCAAACTAATGCAGGTACAGAAAACCAAATACAACATATTCTCACTTATAAATGGGAACTAACTGATGAGAACTCATGAACAAAGAAAGAAACAACAGACAAAGGGGGCCTCCTTGAGGGTGGAGTTTTGGAGGAAGGAGAGGAGCAGAAATAATAACTATTGAGTACTAGGTTTAGTACCTGGGCAACAAAATAATCTGTACAGCAAACTTCCATGACACGAATTTACCTATATAACAAACCTGCACATGTATTCCAACCTAAAATAAAAGGTTGAAAAAAAAAAAAAAGAATGTAATTTGATTGTTTGTAACACAAAGGATAGATAAATGATTGAGGGGATGGATACCCGTTTCTCCACGATGTGATTATTATATGTTGCATGCCTGTATCAAAACATCTCATGTATCCCATAAATATATACACCTACTCTGTACGCACAAAAATTTGAAAATGAAAACATGAAGTGGCAAGGATAGTAGATGTGCATATGTGTGTATGGTTTGTATTAAGGCTGAAGTTTAACATGCAGAACAGGAATTAGTTTAACCACTCAAAATAGGAAGTCAGGATTCTGTTTATAGTTCTAACTAAAGATAACCAAATAATGATTTTAGTAAAATTTTATGTCTTTTCTAGAGATGTTGGTAAAATTTTATAGTCTGAGCTTCAGTGGATCTCTACTAAGATAAACAAGATATTTAAAATGTAATTTTGAAAAGCCAGATACTGATAATGAAGGATAAATTACCTTACTTAAATACATAATTGACCTTATAACAGAAAAACAAATATGACTATAATTTTTAAATTGTCCATATGTCCCCTTCCTTCTCTCTTTAAACTTAGCATCTGCTCATTAATTAATTTCACTCACTTCTATTAAGTGTATCATGTGCTCTGGCACTGTACTATTATTGCTTTTGAGTCTTAAGTAAGCAGAAGAAAAGCTTTCTTACATGGAATGGCCCACTGTTTTACATGGAAACAGAAGTCCTGCAACAGGTGCAGAACTTTTCCTAGCTGCTGTCTAGTATATATTTCTCCCTTAAGGTATTCTTGTAAGGGAAAAAGATAATTGATAATTAGTCTGAATGAACCCAAGGGTGGAAAAGGACCCTGCTTTAAGCCCTAATATGACTAAACCTTGCAGAGAAAATAATGAAAAAGATTTAAAAAATACAGCTATAGGTAACAAGACAGATGACAGCATGATTTAATTGTATTGAAAACAATAAGGGACCTACTGCTAAGTAATGCACCTACTGCTAAGTAACGCATCGAAAATTGGGTGCTGCCAAAAATGGCCAGTTGTGTGCTTTGAACTTAATCTGATAGGTAGTAAGACATACGTAAGCGAACACAATATTTTAGAGTCTATAGAAATTTGATGTTGTAAGTAAATTGAGAGTCATATATTCCATCTTCAACTCAGTCAAGCACCCTTGCCTACACATTGTCCTTTCCTTAATTCTACTCTAATGACAAAAGTACCAGACAACATGTATCCTGAATGATGTCTTTTATTGTTTTAAAAATTGCATGTATATTGCATAAACACGTATTTTAGTAAACATAAGACACACAATATGATTTTAAAAACTCCCTCGGTGCTGTTGCTTTCACTCAAAGCAGTTATTATTAAGGGAATTGATTATTTTGTTGAATTTAATTTAAAATGTTAATTATGTATCATTTATTGGGGTTGACAAAGTTCAGGATATTCTACTCCAAAATATGATACCTTGTCATACTGAATATTTTCAGCTGAAGTAATTTGAGAAAACAGCAGAAGCAGGAAGGTCAGTCTCAACTCCTCCCCACCTCTCCTTGTTACTTGAAGCATGCCATAAAACCTAGGAAGGATTTTCTGACTGTTCCCTGAAGCAGGTCATAAGACACTCAATAGAAAGGTACCCTTCTTATACCCAGAAGAAAAGAATATTTTTATATCTGAAGATGAAGGGTCACAGAGAAGGAGTTGAACCAGCAGGTCTTGCTAAGTTTCCTTCAGTCACCATTGGATCTACCCCACTTTGTCCATTTATTTCTCCATAATTATTCACTCTTCATCAAACATAAGCATAAAAATACACAAGTTTACCTGTTTTTATGGGTCTTCATTTCCTTATTACAGTCCCCATGTCATATGAAAGTTGTACTGAACAGATTTGTATGCTTTTTCCTTGTTAGTCTTTTGCTATAGTGCCTAAGACATGAGATTAATATGGGTGAGAAAAAGATATTTCTCCTCCTCTCCACAGTAAACTTGATATACTTGGACTTACTTGGACGTATATGTCATGACACCAGAAGTAGACATGAATAGAATTTTTAATACTTTTGTATTAGAAAAATGCACAGGAGACATCTGGAATTTCAACAAATATCAGACTATGCATAAATATGTAACCCAGAATTCATTTGGGTTTCCTAGGTGTTATTGTCAATTAATGGCATTTATGTAATTAAACTGAGTTTATGAACTGTCATAAGAAAGAAGTAGTAAAGAAGTGTCTTTAGGGTCATACCTCTGAAGGTAAGAACACCAAGTGGGCTACAATAATAACAATTAAGCTTATATATTATCCTAGCAATTACTTTGGATTGTGTTTATCTCTGTTATACTGAAATGGAAGCCAAAGCTTAAAAGGAAAACAAAATGTGACCTGAATTTGGAGGAATATGGACAGACCTTAGATGGAATCAGAGCCATAGGATCTTCCTCCATGTAATGAATGACCAAACCATGCAGCTATTCTGGATGGCTGTGGATCAAGTCAGCTTGCATATAGTACTAAAACCATTATAATTTTGAAAAATATATCTAGGAAAGTATGAAAAAGTGATTGAGTTTATAAATCAAAACTTGCTAAAAGATTTTTCTATGTATAAAGACATAAACTATTTAAATAATCACTGCTTGACTTATTTTAAACATTTTTATGAACTTCTTGAGAGTTCAGGTTTAGGTACACAAACAGATATCAACTTCAAAATTTCAGCTCTTTCTCTCCCCTCCTCCTCCATTCTTTTCCTCTCCCTTCCTTCCTTCCTACTATCCTTTCTTCTGCTTGCATCTACTTATGCATTGGAGACAGTCTAAGCAAAATGATTCCCAACAAAACATTACACTTAAACAATCTTTGGAAGACTAAAGATTTTTTAAAAACAATAAACCACAAGATGTTATGAATTATCGGAAATTACATAGGAGAATGGAGTACAAACAGTTACATTTCAGAGCCGTTTTTACTTGATAATTATACTTAATGACAATGTTTTGATAGCTAGTTTTTTAAAAAAACAATTTTATTCTCTTTTATTATGGAGTGTGAACATGCTTTTCCTCTTGGTATTCTCCAGTGTCAGCCTTGTTTTTAGTGCTGAATAATGTCAAAGATTAAATTTTCTTTTTAGAAACCATTTTTTTCCAATAATTTATTCTAATTTACAAGATCTTGAATGGTTTTTTTAGAAGTTTTATTTTAGATTCAGGGAGTACATGTGCAGTATGTTACCTGGGTATATTGCATGATGTTTGGGGTACAAATGACCCAGGTCCTGAACATGGTACTGAATAGTTTTTCAACTTTTGCATCCCTCCCTCCCTCCCCACTCTGGTAGTCCTCAGTGTCTGTTGTTGCCATATGTATGTTCATGAGTGCCCAATGTTTAGCTCTCACTTACAAGTAAGAACATGTGGTGATATTCTTTGGCTGTGTCTCCACACAAATCTCATCTCGAATACCCATGCATTGTGGGAGGACCTGGTGGGAGGTAATTGAATCATGGGGGCAGGACCTTCCCATGCTGTGCTCCTGATAGTGGGTAAGTCTCATGAGATCTGATGGTTTTAAAAAGAGGAGTTCCCCTGCACAAGCTCTCTCTGCCTGCTGCCATCCACGTAAGATGTGACTTGCCCCTCCTTGCCTTCTGCCATGATTGTGAGGCCTCTCCAGCCATGTGGAGCTGTTAAGTCCAGTAAGCTTCTTTCTTCTGTAAATTGCCCAGTCTCAGGTATGTCTTTATCAGCAGTGTGAAAACAGACTAATACAGTAAATTGGTACCAGTAGAGTGGGGTGCTGCTGAAAAGATACCCAAAAATGTGGAAGCAACTTTGGAACTGGTTGACAGGCAGAGGTTGGAACAGTTTGGAGGGCTCAGAAGAAGACAGGAAAATGTGGGAAAGTTTGGAACTCCCTAGAGACTTGTTGAATGGCTTTGACTAAAATGCTGATAGTAATATGCACAATGAAGTCCAGGCTGAGGTGGTCTTAGATAGAGATAAGAAACTTGTTGGGAACTGGAGAAAAGTTGACTCGTTATCTTTTAGCAAAGAGATGGATGGCACTTTTCCCCTGCTCTAGGGATTTGTGGTACTTTGAACTTTAGAGAGATGACTTAGGGTATCTGGTGGAAGAAATTTCTAAGCAGCAAAGCATTCAGGATGTGACTTGGGTGCTGTTAAAGACATTCAGTTTTATAAGGAAAGCAGAGCATAAGAGTTCTGAAAATTTGCAGTCTGACAATTTGATAGAAAAGAAATTCCCATTTTCTGAGGAGAAATTCAGCCAGCTGCAGAAATTTGCATAATTAACTAGGAGCCAAATGTTAATCACCAAGACAATGGGGAAAATATCTCCAGGGCACACCAGGAGGCTTTATGGCAGCCCCTCCTATCACATAGCCTCCTCCTGGAGGCCTATGAGGGAAAAATGGTTTCATGGGCCAGGCCCAGGGTTCCCATGCTGAGTGTTGCCTAGGGACTTGGTGCCCTGTGTCCCAGCTGCTTCAGTCATGGCTGAAAGGGGCCAAGGTAGAGGTTGGGCCATGGCTTCAGAGGGTGCAATCCCCAAGCCTTGGTAGCTTTCACTTGTTGTTGAGTCTGTGGGTACACAGAAGTCAGTAAGTGAGGTTTGGAAACCTCTGCCTTAGACTTCAGAAGATGTATGGAAATGCCTGGATGTCCAGGCAGAAGTTTGCTGCAGGAGCAGCACCCTCATGAAGAACCTCTGCTAAAGCAGTGTGGTAGGGAAATGTGGGGTCGGCACCCACACACAGAGTCCCTACTAGGGCATCATCTAGTGGAACTGTGAGAAGAGGGTTACAGTCCTTCAGACCTTAGAATGGTAGATCCACTGACAGCTTTCACTGTGTGCCTGGAAAAGCCACAAACACTCAACACCAGCCCACGAAAGCAGTTGGGAGGGATGCTGTACCCTGCCAAGTCACAGGGGCAGAGCTTTCCAAGACTATGGGAACTACCTCTTGCATCAGTGTGACCTGGATGTGAGACATGGAGTCAAAGGATATCATTTTGGAGTCTTAAGATTTGACTGCCCTGCTGGATTATGGACTTGCATGGGGCCTGTAGCCTCTTTGTTTTGGCCAATGTCTCCCATTTGGAATGGCTGTATTTACTGAATGCCTGTTCCCCCATTGTATCTAGGAAGTAACTAACTTGCTTTTGATTTTACACACTCATAGGCAGAAGGGACTTGCGTTTTCATGGATGAGAATTTGGACTGTGGACTTTTGAGTTAAAACTTTGAGGGACTGTTGGGAAGGCTTGATTGTTTTTTAAATATGAGGACATGAGATTTGAGAGGGGCCAGGGGTGGAATGATATGGTTTGGCTGTGTCCACACCCAAATCTCATCTTGAGTTTCCATGTGTTGTGAGGGAACTGGGTGGAAGGTAATTGAATCATGGGGGCAGGCTTTTCCCATGCTGCTCTCATGATAGTGAATAAGTACCACAAGATCTGATGGTTCTATAAGGGGGAGTTTCCTAGCACAAGCTATTCCTTTGCCTGCTGCCATCCATGTAAGATGTGATGTGCACCATGATTGTGAGGCTTCCCCAGCCATATGGAACCATAAGTCCATTAAATTTCTTTCTTTTGTAAGTTGCCCAGTTTTGAGTATGTCTTTATCAGCAGTGTGAAAATGGACTAATACATGTGTTATTTGGGTTTATGTACTTGTATTATTTTACTTAGGGTAATGGGCTCCAGTTGCATTCATTTCATAGCAAAGGACATAATTTCCTTTCTTTTATGGCTGTGTAGTATTCTACAGTGTATACATAACACACTTCCTTTATCCAGTTCATCACTGATGGGCACCTAGGTTGATTCCATGTCTTGTTATTGTGAATATTGCTGCAACGAACATGCTGTTGGCATGTGTCTTTTTGGTAGAAAAATTTATATTTCTTTGAGTATATACCCAGTAATGGGATTGCTGTGTCAAATGATAATTCCATTTTACATTCTTTGAGAAATCTCCAAGCTTCTTCACACAGTGGCTGAATTACTTTACATTCCCACCACCAGTGTATAAGCATTCCCTTTTCTCCATAGCCTCACCAGCATCTGTTGTTTTTTGTCTTTTTCATAATAGTTGCTCTGACTGTTGTGAGATAGAGATAGTATCTTATTGTGGTTTTGATTTGCATTTTTCTGATTAGTGATATGGAGCATTTTTTGCAACCCACTGGTATGAGATGGTATCTCATTTTGGTTTTGATTTTCATTTTCTGATGATTAGTGATATGGAGCATTTGTTCATGTTTGTTGGCTACCTGTATGTCTTCTTATGAGAAGTGTATGTTCATGTCCATTGTCTATTTTTAATGGGGTTGTTATTAGGTTTTTGCTTGTTGATTTGTTTAACTTTCTTATAGATTCTTGATATTAGTCCTCTGATAGATTCTTGATATTAGTCCTCTGTCAGATGCATAGTTTGCAAATATTTTCTCCTATGCTGGAGTTTGTGTTTTTCCTCTGCTGATAGTTTCTTTTGTTGTGCAGAAGATCTTTAGTTTAATCAGTTCCCACTTGTGAATTTTTGTTTTTGATGTAATCACTTTTGAGAATGCAGCCATAAATTATATCCCAAGGCCAATTTCCAGAATGGTGTTTTCTAGGTTTTCTTCTAGGATTCTTATAGTTAGAGGTTTTACATTTAAACCTTCAACTTATCTTGAGTTAATTTTTGTATGTGGTAAAAGGTATGGATCTACCATTATTCTTCTGCATGTGGCTAGCCAGCTATCCCAGCATCATTTATAACATAGGGAGTCCTTTCCCTATTGCTTAATTTTGTTGACTTTGTTGAAGATAAGATGGTTTCATGTAGGTATGCAGCTTTATTTCTGGGTTCTCTATCCTGTTTCATTAGTCTACATGACTGTTCTTGTACTAGTATCATGCTATTTTTTTTATTGTAGCCTCATAGTGTAATTTAAAGTCAGATAATGTGATGCCTCCAGTATTTTTCTTTTAGCTTAACATAGCTTTTGCTATTCAGGCTCTTTTTTGTACCATATGAATTTTAGAATAGTTTTTTTTTCTAGTTCTGTAAAAAATGATGTTGGTATTTTGATAGAAATAGTGTTGAATCTGTAAATTGCTTTGGGCAGTATGGCCATATTAATGTATTAAGTCTTCCAATCCATGAGCATGAAACGTTTTTCCATGTGTTTTTGTCATCTCTGATTTCTTTGAGCAGTGTTTTGTAGTTCTCTTTGCAGAGATATTTCACCTTGGTTAGATGTGTTCCTAGGTATTTTATGTTTTTGGTGGTTATTGTAGATGAGATGACATTCTTGATTTGACCCTCAGCTTGAATGTTTTTTTGGGAAGGAGTGTAAAAATTTACTGATTTTTGCACATTGATTTTGTATCCTGAAACTTTACCATAGTTCTTTATCAGTTCCAGGAACTTTTTGACAGAGTCTTTAGGGTTTTCTAAATATAGAATTTTGTCAACCACAAACAGTGGTAGTTTGACTCTTTTCTTTTTTTCCTATTTGGTTGTCTTTTGTTTCTTTCCCTTTCCTGATTGCTCTGGCTAGCTCTTCCAATACTATGTTGTATAACAGTGGTGATAGTAGGCATTCATGTCCTGTTGCAGTTCTCAAAGGGAGTGCTTCCAGCTTTTGTCCATTTAATATGATGTTGGCTGCATGTTTGTCATAGATGGCTCTTATTGTTTTAAGGTGTGTTCCTTTGATGCCTAGTCTGTTGGATTTTTTTTTTAATGATGAAGGGATGTTGAATTTAATCAAAAGCTTTTTCTGCATCTATTGAGAAAAATAGTTTATGACAATATGGTTTTTGTTTTTAATTGTGTTTATGTAGTAAATCACATTTATTGATTTGTGTATGTTGAATCAACCTTGCAATCTCATGAATAATGCCTATTCAATCATGACAAGTTAACTTTTTGATGTGCTGTCAGATTCCATTTGTTAGTATTTTGTTGAGGATTTTCATGTCTGTGTTTATCAAGAATATTGGCCTACAGTTTCCTTTTCTTATTGTGTCTTTGTCAGGTTTTGTTTTCAGGGTGATGCTGGTATTTTAGAAAGAGCTGCAGAGGAGCTCTTTCTCCTTGATTTTTTGGAATAGTTTCAGTAGAATTGGTACCAGCTCTTCTTTGTACTTCTGGTAGAATTGAACTGTGAATCCGTTTGGTCCAGGGCTTTTTTTTTTTTTTTTCTTTTTTTCTTTTTTTTTTTTTTTTTGATTGGTAGGTTTTTTACTATTGATTCAATTTTGGAACTTGATGTTCCTCTCTTTAGGATTTCAACTTCTTCCCGATTCAATCTTGGAAGATTGTATGTTTCCAGGAATTTGTCAGTTTCTTCTAGATCATCTAGTCATCTAGTTCATGTGCATAGAGTTGTTCTTAATAATCCCAGAGGATCATGTATATTTCTGTGAGGAGATCTTATATTTTAAAATACTACAACTTGCTTGAAAAAAAAATGATATAAATACAAGTTAGTTCCAACATGGATTTTAAGAGTTCACATCAAGAATGCATCATAAATTATGAGGGGTTAAAAAACTAAAAGAATATTTTTTCAGAACAGACCAAGAAAACAATTAAGTTGGGAAAACTTAATGCATAAGAAAAGTTTAAAGGAATCAGGAGAAGTCTAAAACCGATTTTAAAACTGTTTTTAATATTGTAAGTACTTAATGAAACTAGGATATTTAAGATCAAGTGTACTTTATTTTCACTAGATATAGGAGAGAATGTTGAATTGAATTAAATTATAATTAAAAATTATGCTAGCTCTGAGGAATTGCTTCTTTCTAGTAAGATACACTGCTGAAAAAATATATATGGGATATTATAGAATATCCCTTGAATGTGATTAAGAGTAGAATTTTCAGCAGTGTCACAAATAACTAAAATTCAGATTTGTAATGAAAAAGCAAACTGGATTAGAAAATTATGCTTTTGTTCCTACTCTTTGATTCCATAATAATTCTGAAAGAACATGTTAGCAAATGCCTTCAACTTAGGTGAACTCCTTAATTTAACCTCATATTATTGGTTTTGTGTCATGTCTCAATATGTCACCAAAGCCAGCCCAGATTTTAAATTCTTATTATTACTTAATAACACCTACATTTTTATCTTAGAAATTCTCCTTCAAGGCATCACAAAGCAGAATTTAAAAAAAAGAAAGAATACTTTCTGAGTATCAACCAATATTTTAAATGATTCTGTATCATGTGCAGCCTCTTTCCTATATAGTGTGCAAATAATGTACTTCTTTTTGGATTAAATGGACTCAGGAGTGTACTATCTAGAATATTGTACAAAATTGCCTTGAATATGTTATATGCAATGATATGGTTTCACTGTGTCCCAACCCAAATCTCATCTTGAATTTAATGCCCATAATTCCCAAATGTTGTGGGAGGAGGAACCTGGTGGGAGGTGACTGAATTATGGGGCAGGCCTTTCCTGTGCTGTTCTTGTGATACTGAATGAGTCTCACAAGATCTGATGGCTTTAAAAACGGAAGTTTCCCTGCACAAGCCCTCTCTTTGCCTGCTGCCATCCCTATACGATGTGACTTGCTCCTCCTTGCCTTCTACCATAATTGTGAGGCCTCCCCAGCCATGTGGAACTGTAAGTCCATTAAATCCTTTCCCGTATAAATTACCCAGTCTCAGGTATGTCTTTATGAGCAGCATGAAAATGGATTGATACAGTAAATTGGTTCCAGGAGTAGGGTGCTGCTGAAAAGATACCTGAAAATGTGGAGGTGACTTTCGAACTGGGTAACAAGCAGGGGTTGGAACAGTTGGAGGGCTCAGAAGAAGATAGGAAAATGTGGGAAAGTTTGGAACTCCCTAGAGACTTGTTGAATGGCTTTGCCCAAAATGCTGACAGCAATATGCACAATAAAGTCCAGGCTGAGGTGGTGTCAGATGGAAATGAGGAACTGGAGCAAAAGTGACCCTTGTTATGTTTCAACAAAGAGACTGGTAGCATTTTGCCCCTTCTCTAAAGATTTGTGGAATTTTGAACTTGAGAGAGATGATTTAAGGTATCTAGCAGGAGAAATTTCTAAGTGGCAAAGCATTCAAGAGGTGACTTGGGTGCTGTTAAAGGCATTCAGTTTTGTAAGGAAAACAGATATAAAAGTTCAGAAATTTTGCAGCCTGACAATTTGATAGAAAAGAATTTACTATTTTTTGAGGAGAAATGAAAGCCAATTGTAGAAATTTGCATAACTAATTAGAAGCTGTATGTTAATCACCAAGACAGTGGGGAGAATGTCACCAGGGCATGTGAGAGGTCTTCATGGAAGCCCCTCCCATCACAAGCCCAGAGGTCTAGGATTTAAAAATGGCTTTGTGGGCCAGGCTCAGGTCCCTGTGCTGTGTGCAGTCTAGGGAATTGGTAACTGCATCCCAGCCACTCCAGCCACAAGTAAATGGGGCCAAGGTACAGCTCGAGTCATGGCTTCAAAGGGTGCAAGCTCCAAGCCTTGGCAGCTTCCATGTGATGTTGGGCCTGTGGGTGCATGGAAGTCAAGAAATGAGGTTTGGGAACCTCTGCCTAGGTTTCAGGGGATTTGTGGAAACACCTGGATGTCTAGCAGAAGTTTGCTGCAGGGGCAGGGCCCTCATGGAGAACCTCTGCTAGGGCAGTGTGCAAGGGAAATGTGAGGTCGAAGCCTGCACACAGAATCCCTACTGGGGCACCACCTAGTGGAGCTGTGAAAAGAGGGCCACTGTCCCTCAGACCCCAGAATGGTAGATCCACTGACAGCTTGCACTGCATGCCTGGAAAATCTACAGACACTAAACAACAGCCTATGAAAGCAGCTGGGAGGGAGGGTGTACCCTGCCAAGCCACAGAGGCGGAGCTGCCCAAGATCATGGGAACCCACTTCTTGCATCAGCATGACCCGGAAGTGAGACATGGAGTCAAAGGAGATCATTTTGGGGCTTTAAGATTTCACTGCCCTGCTGAGTTTTGGACCTCCATGGGGCCTGTAGTCTCTTTGTTTTGCCAATCTCTGCCATTTGAAATGGTTGTATTTACCCAATGACTGTACTCCCATTGTATCTAGGAAGTAACTAATTTGCCTTTGATTTTACAGGCTGATAGGCAAATGGGGCTTGCCTTGTCTCAGATGAGATGTTGGACTGTGGACTTTTGAGTTAATGCTGAAATGAGTTAAGACTTTGGGAGACTGTTGGGAAGGTATGACTGTTTTTGAAATGTTAAGACATGAGATTTGGGATGCACCAGGGGTGGAATGATATGGTTTGGCTGTGTCTCCACCCAAATCTCATCTTTAATTGTAACTCCCACAATTCCCATATGTTGTGGGGGGAACCCAGTGGGAAGTGACTGAATTATGGGGGTGGGTCTTTCCTGCACTGTTCTCTTGGTACTGAATGAGTCTCACAAGATCTGATGGTTTTAAAAATGGGATTGTCCCTGAACAAGCTCTTTCTTTGCCTGCTGCCATCCATGTAAGATGTGACTTGCTCGTCCTTGCTTTATGCCATGAGTGTGAGCCCCCTCCACCCCCTGCCATGTAGAACTGTATGTTCATTAAACCCTTTTCCTGTATAAATTACCCAGTCTCAGGTATGTCGTTATTAGCAGTGTGAAAATGGACTAACACACGAAATTTCCTCTATCTTTTAAAATGATAACTAAAGAGACTGAGCATATACGCCACCAAGAATATGTGTGTGTGGTGGAGAAAGGGTACTTAATTAGCTTAACTCTTTACAATTCAAGAATTTTGGGGAGTCCAAGTTTTGGCTAAGTAGTATATGTGGTTTTGATAGTTTTCAGTAACTTCTTATAGCCGAAATTTTATTGTTTGCTAGCTGGCAAAAGCATTATGTTTAAAAATATACAGCAACAGATTTTCATATTTTTTCATATCTTTTTAGAATGACTCACATAAGTAGATCTGTTCTTTTGCAGATTACTTTAGCGTTCCTCAGATAGGCATCACTTAAATGTGCGGTAGCAGATAGGACTTTTCTAAAGTCCTCTTATAATGTAATATTTCATTACTTCGATTTACCAAGCTTAACAAGTGTTTGACACCCTTCAGCTACTAAATTGATTCAGAAAAGATAGAACAGCATAGGCATGCTCTGATTTTTTTGCTCTTTCTTGATGGATTACAATTATTAACCTACAGGTGGAGTCTAGATCTTTATTTTTAGAGAAAAATCTCAACAAATAGTCAACTGAATAGAATCAGGGCAACATAGCTATTTGAGAAGTACACAACTTTCAAATTAACTTCTTGTATAGCAGCTTCAATCTTCTGTATTAGAAATTGTAATAAACTATTGGCCGGGTGCGGTGGCTCACGCCTGTAATCCCAGCACTTTGGGAGGCTGAGGCGGGTGGATCATGAGGTCAGGAGATCGAGACCATCCTGGCTAACAAGGTGAAACCCCGTCTCTACTAAAAATACAAAAAATTAGCCGGGCGCGGTGGCGGGCGCCTGTAGTCCCAGCTACTCGGGAGGCTGAGGCAGGAGAATGGCGTGAACCCGGGAAGCGGAGCTTGCAGTGAGCTGAGATTGCGCCACTGCAGTCCGCAGTCCGGCCTGGGCGACAGAGCGAGACTCCGTCTCAAAAAAAAAAAAAAAAAAAAAAAAAGAAATTGTAATAAACTATTAAACTGAATATTTTTTATTTGTCACCACACTATTCCCAGATGGTTGATCATTCTCATGAACAGTGGAAGACCAAGAAACATCAAGCAACAGAAACTGAATTTCTGATCAACCTATTAATTCAAAATTTAGTCCCTGATATGAGTGTAAAAATTCTTTTAAAGTTAAAGTGAACATTTATAATAATATACAAAAATACCCCATTTTAAAGATGTGGAAATTGAGGCTGGAGAAGGATAGATTATTTGCACAAATTTCACAAAAAATAATGATAGAGCATGGGTTAAAACACACAGTATCGTGATTATATTTGAATCATACATGAGAGCTCAAATTACATCACACTTTGCCCATTCTGCCAGAAAATATTCTGGAGGTCATTATCATGCAGTAGTTAAGCCCACAAAAAGCTCTAGAGTCAGCAACTCTTTGTTAGAATCTCAGCTCTGTCACTTACCTTTCTATCTCAACTTCAGTTTCCCCATTGATTTAACAGGAATGAAAATAGTATTTATGTCAGAGAGTTGTTGAAAAGATAAAATGCATACAAAAAGAGACCCCCTGGCACATGGTAGGTGTAACAGATACTAATGTATCGTAGTGTTTCTCTTAAAATTTTGGAACAGTATAATTGTATAATTTAAAAAATCAATATTGCATATATTGAATAAATAATAACTTTATTATAGAGTTCATGAAATGGTAAAGATAAAGTCAATTACATTGTATCCATCTCAGATAATTGGGAAAATTTTCCTCACACAAATATACACTCAAGAAATACACACCAAGAATACAACCTCAGATATCAGATATTAGAGCTAAATTTTGTTCACAATGCTAGGCTAAGAAATCTTTGGTTAGAAGGTTATGGAACATCAAGATTTTATTGGTAAGCACATAACCCCATTTAATTCCAGTAGACGCTCTTTTAACAGTCACAGTCAGAATCAGAGGTAAGATGGTTCATCAAAGCAATCAGATGAACAGGTAAATCATTAAGAAATGCATACATATCTCATATATGTTACATATATATGATAAATAAATACTTGAAACAAAGAAGTGTACATTTATCTTTCATAATTTGATGTAGAATCTTTGCCTTGCCTTTGGATGTATGTTCACTGATTTTAGCACAATGCACCATATTTATTACATACACTCTACCAATATTACATAATATGTAGTGTCCGGTTTTTGTTCCCATAAAATGGAGTGTGTTTTTAAATGCTCTTGAAAAGTGTTCTGAGTATGGAATGCTTCTAGAGTTTTATGATACTTTTTCTGAATCTTCTGTAGTTCTCTTGCTCAGACAGTACTCTATGACAAGTCATTGCAGCATTTTGCCCTTTGTAATCTTTCTGAAAAGTTCAATTTCATCTTCTTTGAAGCAATTATTTTTATATTAACATTTCATTGGGTTATATGAGATTTTAATTAAATTAAATGGTTGCAATAGCAAATGCAGCTCATGTAAATGTATTTTAAAACAATATCTGACTTTTCTTAAGCATAAACTCGCTTTGGCTCAGAAGTCAGTGGGTATACTGTAAAGTGGCATCCTAGCTGAGGTGAGGACATAAAGCTTGTTGACTTCATCAAGTCAATGTTTTATTCACTGTGGGAATAATGAGCTTTATTTAATCAAATGAGTTGGTTAAGTAGAGGCCTGTCAAAAAAGTTTCCAATTTATTAATATTGATGCATTTGCTATATCAGAGTAGGACATCCAATTGTGGAAGATTTCACAACTTACCATTGTATTTACAAATCTAAACTTAATTTTTGATCATTCTAATATCTCAAGAAGTTTGTTTGCAGTTTGCCCATACCTTCACAGTAACCCGACTGCTACACGACAGCAACTCTAGCCTTTAATCAAAAGTATGAATTTTTGAATGAAACAAGTACATTTGCATAATTTTTTAAATAGTTAAAATCAGTGTACCTCAAACTTTCATGTGCAGATCCATCATATAACATATAAATCTTATGTATGTTTTACCAAAATTAAAAAGGCAAAAAAGAAATATTAATGCTATGTCCTACTAATATCATTATTTTCCCTGGGAGTGTAGCCTGGAAATAATATTTTTGTAAAATTATCCATTTGATCTATGTGTATGCAAATTTTAAAAACCACTGATTTAAATGGAAAACCTTAAAATGTGTTTCAATCATTCACCACTTGAGTTCCAGTGAGAACAAAAGTAAAGTTTTATCTTTGAGTCTACCGATTATTTCCGTTACAGGGTAAGAAAATGTGTTTGCTAAGTAGGCATATTCTCAAGACTTCGTTAGGCTGAATGTAACATAAAAAAGACTTCATGATAAGAAAAGCAATGAAACCTGATTAATACAGATTGACTTAGCGAGGAGCCACAAACTTCTGGCATTCTAATTTGTTTGTAGTTGACTACTTAACAGTATTCGATGATCGGAGAATACTTTAGTAGACAGACAGAAATGAAAATTTTCCTTTAATTACATCAAATTCTCCCTAGACTAAATTCTGTGTTTTGTTTAACAATCAAAATGTAGGAAACAGGAGGGTGACTGGTAATGATTCAAATGGGTATTAAAGTTTCATCTACTATACATCATCATATATTTATTAATCTGAGGTTATTCATGGAACTGATATGAAAACTGAAGGACTGTGAAGTTATATTTTAGTTCACATAAATGTGTGAATTCTATTGTATATTAATATTATCTGTATTTGGATATGGATAGACAAATTATGTAGATAGAGAGAGAGATGTACCCATATTATATCCAGACTAAATGCCTTCTGAGAATATTTATTCATGTAGAAATTCATTTATCAAAACCAAATATTTATCAAAAGAAAGAATATATTCATCCGAACCATACGATTTTGATTCAAATATTAACAGCTTTATAAACTCAAGCAAGTAACTACTAATTTCTGAGCTCACTAACATCTACAGCAAAAACTTTCTATAAGAATGAAAATAATTTTGAACTCTCTGTAAGAAAGATGAGCCCATCCTGATAGCATAAGTATTAAAATGATATTTGAGCACTGTACTGCAAAGCTGCTAAAAACAGAAAAATTACATATATAGTAGTTTGTATAATATAGATGTGTGTGTGTGTGTGTGTGTATATATATATATATATATAATATATATATATATATGTTTTTTTTTTTTTGAGATGGAGTCTTGCTCTGTCACCAGGCTGGAGTGCAGTGCCGTGATCTCTGCTCACTGCAACCTCCACCTCCTGGGTTCAAGCAATTCGCCTGTCTCAGCCTCCCAAGTAGCTGGGACTACAGGCGTGCCCCACCACACCCAGCTAATTTTTTTGTATTTTAGTAGAGACGGGGTTTCACCATGTTGGCCAGGATGGTCTCAATCTCCTGACCTCATGATCTGCCTGCCTCGGCCTCCCAAAGTGCTGGGACTACAGGCGTGAGCCACCACCCCCAGCAAGTTTATATATTATATAATATTAAATATGATCTAATATAGCACTTGGAGTATTTGGGTCTTTCTTCTTTTACTTCTGTATTATTGTTTTTGTTATTTTATTCTGCCCCTCTTTGTCTTCCTTCTTTTACCCGCATATTTTAGTTTTTGTTATTTTCTCCTACCCCTCTTTTACAAGTTACCTTGCATTCTTAGTGAATGACTTATGTGGAATTATAATTATGTTGCCTTTTTATGGATATGTCAATATTTATAACAGTGTTTGAAGTAGACAAATACTTCTCCACTTCTCCTAAATCTGTCTTATAAATGTAACCGGTAATGACACAATCTATGCAGTATTAAATATTAATTTGGGATTATATATTAATGATAGAGAACAAATGAATTCCTTTATTGCTAAGTCAATGCAAACTAGTGAAGTGGCTTATTTTGGTGAATTACACTATGATAAACATTTTTTTGGACCACCATATCACATATCACACAGGACAACCATATAGAAACTCATAGCAAATATTGTAGTCGTGAGTATCTGTTCTAAATTTCATCCGAATTAATATTATTTTATGAAACTATAGGAAGATGAATTCCTGTATACTGACTTTACAAACTACATTAAGTCTGTGGAAGTTGCATACCAAGTAAGCAATGTAATGGTAGAGATGTGAAAATTCTGTCAGTTGTCTTTCTAATCAGTAGTCAAATTTTGACACAAGAAATGCTATCAAATTCAAAAGGCATATTCATGGAATCCTCTCCAACTATTTAGTTAACAGAATGAGATTATGTTTTTTTTTTTCTTTTTATGGTACGACATACAGTGCTGTGTTTTACTTTTCTCTATTGTCTAATAAATTATTTTTAAATAATTTTTTCTGCTGAGACAGTGTATGATCTACATGTCTTCTGAAAACCAAAGAAGGTATTTCTTTGATTTGAAATAGCGTTTAAAATACCTACATTCTTAAAAGTCAGAGCTTGTAAAGTGATTGCAGGCATTTGCGAATCAGGTGAAATTTGTGTGGTCTTTTGACTCTTGCTATATTAATAATATTTTCAATGAAAACTGTACCTACTTGCTTTGTGTGCATATAAATTGAATATATTGTAAAATTTAAAATAACAGTAATAGTTCCGGTGGGCTGATGTTCCATAATCTGTATCTGTACTTGTATAAAGATAATTAGTTTGAATCAATCACTTATAGAAAAATGTCACCTCACCTGCCCATTTTAAAAAGTGGCTCACAGAAGTGAAATTAGTTACACAGCATACTAATTACAGAATGAAAAGACTGCTCAAAAATGCTAAATACAGGCCTGTAAATTAGCATATCTTCATACAGATATAAATTAAACATATAATAAAATTATATGTATTATAATTATATATAATTATATGTGTAGTGTATATATACATATTTATATATAATCAGTATATATAGATATTATATATCTATATGTAAAATATATATGTATCTAAATATGTATCTATCTAAATACATATATATACACAAACATATAAAATAAGTGCTAAGTCGGGTCTGGGACAATGTCATTTATTCAGCACAGTGTTCTTGGTACATAGCAAGACCTGAAACATACTAAATAATCAATAATATGTTTGGTTCAACAAGTGTCAGAAATGCTTTATTTTGGTGATGTTTTAGATTTGGAAATTTTACACAAACAGGCATAGTTAGCAAAAATATTTTTTCTTTTTTTAAGTTTAAAAGATATGAACAGTACAGTACAGTGTTCCAGAAATTCTTATTGGTGAAGAATTCATGGCTTGGAAAACTAAGTTGATGATGCAGAAGAATGTTCATTATGAAAGAAATGGGTTATAAAGAAGTCTGAGAAAAAGACTATTTAGGAAATTTGTCTTAAAAGGGTGAGAAATGGATTAGATATGGGCATGAACGAAATACAATTTTTTCTTTCATTCTTAGGTTTGGCTTTGTTCCTTTTCACTGAGCTGGAATGAGTATCACAGGGTAATTGTGACATATTGACCCTTAAACTTTCAACATGTTTTCATTAATTCAACAAATATTATTTAAGGTGGCATCATACCCGACACAATTTTAGCTTATCCTTTATGTAAACCTTATGTAAACTAAATATACATTAATCTTGCACAAAAATTTTGAGAAAATATTTTGAGGAAATGTGTTAATGCATTATTTGCTTCTGCATGTACCTTTTTCCCTAGAATATGACTGGGTTTTGATTATATATTGCCAGAAAATAGTTTCACCTATGTAAAGGATTTGTTCTTAGTGACTTTTGTTGTCAGGAAGTTTTGCATTTGTGTTAACACTTGTGTGTTTTGTGGCATCATGTTTTTATTAGTATCAGTGCTACATTCTGTGATACCTTTATGACTCCTAAATCTTTGATTTAGATTATATAATTCATTGCTAATCATGTCTTCTTCTCAATGTATCTCATTTAAATTATTTTAGCTAAAGGGCCAAGTGATAGCTGGGAACATTATGTGCCCATTCCTGATGGTGCCCATTTTTCAAAAGGAAGGGATTTTGAGAAAGGTCCTCAGAATTCAGTAATACTGGTATATAGTGTAATGTTGAAAGAATGTAATGATGCACTAACTTTGGCTTATTTATTTATTTTTAGAGACAGGGTCTCACTCTGTCTCCCAGGCTGAAGTGCAGTGGTGTGATCATGGCTCACTTTAGCCTGGAGCTCCTTGCCTCAAGCCATACTCCTGCCTTAGCCATCCAAAGCCTTGGAATTATAGGCATGAGCCACCACACATGACCTCCTTTTCAAGTTATTCCATTAATTATTTATAGGAAATAACAACAGTTTAATGAAAATTTAAAAAAAGAATTAGGAAGTTTATCCATATCTAATTCAAAATCACATGACAAATTCTTATTTAACTTAGTCAACCTATGGGGATAATTTGTATTCTTAAAAAAATCTCTTCTAGTAGGAAAAAATATAATTTCAAAATCTTACTTAAACCAAATGTATTTGTTATTCAAGATATGAGTACATTTCTCTCTGTCTTGACACTTGAAATTCTCGTATAAGATTTCAAATTATAGGGGAAAAATCAGAAGAATTGATTGTTGTATTTTAGGAAACTCACATTGTGTTTTGGGAATTTTGGCAAATTATAAAAAATACCCTTTAATTTCCACAAGCGAAAGTACATGCTGACTTGAAGTTAATTCTACTTTTTAAAAGTAAAATCATTTTGGAAAGTTTTTCAGTGAGTTATGTCCATGCAAAATAAGTGAACACTGGTAATTCTTTGTACAACAGAGTACAAAAATTGAAAGAGAATAGGAAAATATTGCTACTTAGGGATCCGGGATATATATTTTTCATCATGGGACATGATATTTCATCTGAGCACAATGTGCATTTGAGGAATGGATAGGACTGGCTTATAGTTTAAATAAATATCTTAGCTAGTCATGGTTATATTCTCTTAGACTAAATTTCAGTCAAATTCTTAGCAATATTAATATGTGTATTTGAACTAATTTCTGTGTCAATTCTCCAAACTGTGTAGCAGAAACATCATTTTATGTTTAAAGAAACAAAGTAAAGGGAGAGATTAATAGGAACTCAGACAAATGCAGAATCAAATTATAGTGTATTAAAGATGTATATCTCCTTCCTTGTTATATAAGAACTAAAACTTAGGCAACATTTTATCTCTTAGTGGTATACTCTCCTTTTACAAATACCAAAATATAATATTTATATTTTGAGTATCCAAAGAGCCATTACCTTAAATCTGTATCTTCTAGTCATGAAGTGCAGATGATTTTTAAGGCAGACAGCATTTGGTTTATTCAAAAAATCTTTTAATATGTCTTTTGCAGTGAGTTAATCTGTCAGACTGATAAAATAAGTTCCTCATACTCCCCCTCCTCTTCCTGTGCATATAAGCTTTTATTTAATTCTGTTTGAAATAGCTTGCTTCTATTTTTGCTTCCTCTTCATGTTTGTGGCACTGCTTTTTATGCTTTGTTCTTTGCTGACATAAAATATTTATCAACATATCATCTAAGAAGATTGGTTCTCCACAGTAGATATCCAATATGTTTCACCACATGGAAAATGTCTTTTCTTGTTTATTCCTAAAATCTGTAGCCAAATTCCCATATGTCTGGTTTATCCATTGATACTTGAAAATGTAAAACTAAGTAATTCTGTGGATAACAATTATGCATGAACATTGCCATTAAACAGTAAATTTTAAAATAATTTATATTTAAACTAAAATAATAATCATATATCTTTCAATATCAAGCAAACGGATTTGATTTTATTCCATTCCTTTGTTATAATGGAAAATAAATTTTCTAATACATTTATTTTTCATTTTTTCTTTGATATGATTTCCCTAATAGTTAAAACAATAGCATTATTCAGAGACTGTATTTTTAGATGTGGCCTATGATTTCAAGGATCCCTCCTTTCCCCATGTGTTACAATACAAAATATAAATAACCAGTTGGTTCCAAGACTAAAAATTTCTGCCAAAGCTTGTGTTCATACAGTTACAAAGTCCCAATAAAATATATATTAGAGAGAAAAAATATAAATATAGAAAATAAATCAAAGTCTCCAATTCTTTGAAAATGCCAGCATGGTACTACTGTTAAGCTGTCAGTAATTCACTGTGATTACAAGAAATCACAACTTCAGTCCATGCTAATATCACATGTGAGATTATGAAAACATATTTATAAAGAGAATTATCAAGTCAGCTTGCACTTCCAAAACTATACTTTCGTTTCAATTATTTCATCTCCTTAAATATTTTATATGTAAATATTAAGATCTATATAATAAAATAATCAATTTATTTGGAGTTTTATAAGTTGTCCATCCAGATGCATCTCTCTAAACTGATGTATTAGGAGGAAAAATACTGTCAATGAATAAACATCACTATCTTTCTCATTTTGTAGCAAATTTTAAAGTGAAAGTAATAGAACATTACTTTGGGGGAACAATGCAATATTTATGATAGTGAACATTATTGAAATAAGTTCAAATTTTTCTTTATGGATTTTAAAAAACATGCTTTCATATACAAAAACATGTAAACATCTGCCTAAAATAAAGTTGAAATAGATATTTTTGAAATGGTAATTATATGACCTATTTCTTATTCCAGTTTTCTGTTACATATGCTACATGTAATAGAAAATGTAAATAATATAGTATTAATATAAGTATAGACATGCATATAATATATGATCAATATAAGTACTTCTCAAATGAAATCTCTGTTTCCAAACTATGTCCTAAGTTGTGTGCAGAGCTTAATATGTTTAGCAAGGCATACGAACATACAGAAAGAGAAAATATGCTATAGAACTTACAAAACTGACATTCACTAATAAAATAAGACTTTCAAGTGCTTATTTTTATTTGTTATTTTTAACTTTATTATGGGTATATAATAGTTGTATATTTTTATGAGGTATGTGTAATGTTTTGATACAGACATATAATGTATAATGATCAAGTCAGGGTAATTAGAGAACACATCATCTCAAGCCTTTATCATTTTTTTGTTTTAGGAACATTCCAATTCCACTCTTTTAGTTATTTAAAAATAAACAACAAAATACTGTTAACTAGAGTCACCCTATTGTGCCACCAAATACTAGATCTTATGCATGCTATCTAACTCTATGTTTGTACACATTAACTATCTTCACTTTATCCTTCTGTCTCCTCTATGCTTTCCAGCCTTTGGCAATCATCATTTCACTCTCAACCTCCACTGAGTTCAAATTTTTTTTTAGCTGCCATATATGATTGAAAACATGTAACATTTGTCTTTCTGTGTCTGACTTATTTCACTTAACATAATATCCTTCAGCTCCATACATGTTGTTGCAAATGACAGAATTTCATTTTCTTTATGGCTGAATGATAACCCATTCTGAATATGCAGCACATTTTCTTTATCCATTCATCCATTGGACACTTAGATTGCTTTCATTTCTTGGCTATTGTGAATAGTGCTGCAAAATAAACACGGGAGTGCAGATATCTCTTTGATATACTGATTTTCTTTCATTTGGATTTAAACCCAACAGTGGAATTGCTGGATCATATGGTGGGTCTAATTTTAGTTTTTTGAGGATCCTCTATACTGTTCTCCATAGTGGTTGTACTAATTTACATTTTCATCAAAAGCGTATGAGCGTTCCCTTTTATCCCTACCCTTGCCAGAATTTGTGATTGCCTCTCTTTTGGATAAAAGCCATTTTAACTGGGGCGAGATGATTTCTCATTGTAGTTTTGATTGGCATCTCTCGAAAAACTGGGTATAGAATGAACATATATCAACACAATAAAAGTCACATTTGTTAAGCCCACAGCTAGTATCATACCAAACAAGGAAAGTCTGTAACTCTTTCCTCTAAGATCAAGAACAATAAAAGCATGTGCACTTTTACCACTTTTATTCAACATAGTTCTCTACTTAGATAAGAGAAGGAAATAAAGGGCATTCAAATTGAAAAAGAAGAAGTCAAATTATTCTTGTTTGTAGACAACGTAATCTTATATTTAAAAAAACCTTAAAGTCCTCACCAAAAAACTATTGGAACTGATAAACAAATTGGAATTAGTAAAGTTGCAGGATACAAATCCAACATACATAGAAAAACATTAGTAGCATTTCTATATGCCAACAGCAAATAAGTTGCAAAAGAAACCAAAAAAGAAACACCATTTACAATAGCTAAAAATAAAACAAAGTATCCAGGAGTAAATAACCAAAAACTTGAAAGATTTCTACAATGGGCCACCATCGTCGGCAAAGCCTGAGTCCTGTCCTATCTCTCTCCTCCCCGGACAGCATGAGCTTCACCACTCGGTCTACCTTCTCCACCAACTACCAGTCACTGGGCTCTGTCCAGGCGCCCAGCTACGGCGCCCGGCCGGTCAGCAGCGCGGCCAGCGTCTATGCAGGCGCCGGGGGCTCTGGTTCCCGGATCTCCGTGTCCGCTCCACCAGCTTCCGGGGCGGCATGGGGCCTGGGGGCCTGGCCGCGGGGATGGCTGGGGGTCTGGCAGGAATGGGAGGCATCCAGAACAAGAAGACCATGCAAAGCCTGAACGACTGCCTGGCCTCTTACCTGGACAGAGAGAGGAGCCTGGAGACTGAGAACCGTAGGCTGGAGAGCAAAATCCGGGAGCACTTGGAGAAGAAGGGACCCCAGGTCAAAGACTGGAGCCATTACTTCAAGACCATCGAGGACCTGAGGGCTCAGATCTTCGCAAATACTGTGGACAATGCCTGCATCGTTCTACATATTGACAATGCCCGTCTTGCTGCTGATGACTTTAGAGTCAAGTATGAGACACAGCTGGCGATGCGCCAGTCTGTGGAGAACGACATCCATGGGCTCCGCAAGGTCATTGATGACACCAATGTCACTTGACTGCAGCTAGAGACAGAGATTGAAGCTCTCAGGGAGGAGCTGCTCTTCATGAAGAACCACGAAGAGGAAGTAAAAGGCCTACAAGCCCAGATTGCCAGCTTTAGGTTGACCGTGGAGGTAGATGCCCCCAAATCTCAGGACCTTGCCAAGATCATGGCAGACATCCGGGCCCAATATGACAAGCTGGCTGGGAAGAACCGAGAGGAGCTAGACAAATACTGGCCTCAGCAGATTGAGGAGAACACCACAGTGGTCACCACACAGTCCGCCGAGGTTGGAGCTGCTGAGATGACGCTCACAGAGCTGAGACGTACAGTCCAGTCCTTGGAGATCGACCTGGACTCCATGAGAAATCTGAAGGCCAGCTTGGAGAACAACCCGAGGGAGGTGGAGGCCCGCTACTCCCTTCAGATGGTGCAGCTCATCGGGATCCTGCTGCACCTGGAGTCAGAGCTGGCACAGACCCGGGCAGAGAGACAGCGCCAGGCCCAGGAGTAATGAGGCCGTGCTGAACATCAAGGTCAAGCTGGAGGCTGAGATCACCACCTACCGCCGCCTGCTGGAAGATGGCGAGGACTTCATTCTTGGTGATGCCTTGGACAGCAGCAACTCCATGCAAACCATCCAAAAGACCACCACCCGCCGGAGAGTGGATGGCAAAGTGGTGTCTGAGACCAACGACACCAAAGTTCTGAGGCATTAAGCCAGCAGAAGCAGGGTACCCTTTGGGGAGCAGGAGGCCAATAAAAAGTACAGAGTTAAAAAAAAAAGATTTAAACAATGAAAACTATAAAACATTGATGAAAGAAATTGAGGCAGATACAAAAAAATTGAAAGACATTTCATATTCATAGATTGGAAAAATCTATATTGTTACAAAGTCCATACTACCCAAAGCCATCTACAATTCCTATCAAAACACCAATGACATTCTTCAGAGAAATAGAAAAAATAATCCTAAAATTTATATGGAACCACAAAAGACCCAGAATAACCAAAGCTATGCTAAGCAAAAATAACTACACTGGGGGAATCATAGTACCTGACTTCAAATTATACTACAGAGCCATAGTAACCAAAACAGCATGGTACTGGCATAAAAATAGACACATATACCAGGGGAACAGAATAGAGAACCCACAAACAAATTCACATACCTACAGTGAACTCATTTTTGACAAAGGTGCCAGGAATATAAACTGAGGAAAAGAGAGTCTCTTCATTAAATGGTTCTGGGAAAACTGGATATCCATATGTAGAAGAATTAAACTTGACCCGTATCTCTTGCTATATACAAAAATCAAATCCAAGTGGATTAAACACTTAAATCTAAGACCTTAAACTATGAAACTACTACAAGAAAACACTGGAGAAACTATCCAGGACATTGGTCTTGGCAAAGACTTATTGACCAATGCCCCAGAGGCACAAGCAATCAAACCAAAAAATGGACAAATGGGATCACAGCAAGTTAAAAAGTTTCTGCACAGCAAAGGAAACAATCAACAAAGTGATGAGACAACCCACAGAAGGGGGGGAAATATTTGTAAACTACTCATCTGGCAAGGAATTAATAACCAGAATATATGAGGAGCTCAAACAACTCAATAGGAAAAAAAGTGATTAATAAATAGACAAGAGATTGTAATAGACATTTCTCAAAATAATATATACAAATGGCCTACCTTCAAGTGTTTAAGTAAAAGTTGTTTCCTGATATCATGTCCATTTACTTATGCAATATAGAGACTTTATTTACCTACTGTTTTCTTTATAGTACAGCAGATTTTTAAATTAGTTTGTAATGGAGCAAACAGGTTGGTGAAAATGTAAAGAAAAAGTTTTGAAATTTTTTATTCTAAAAAACTTCAATTATATTCTCTCTCTAGATATGATTGAGTTTTATCCCTGTTTTATTTCTATGCGCACAACTCAAAAAGGTTTGTTGACAAAACAGTCAAAGCTTCGAAATTGGGTAAATTGCTTAGAAGAAACTTATTTTCAATTTCACAAGGAAGAAATTTTAAAACTTAAGTCTTTTAGCAATGTACAGATTGTACATTATTATCTTGGAGGCATGTATTTTGTCTGCATTAAAATCATGCAAAGGAACACGCTTTACAAATCAATTTCACTGTGGACCTAAAGACCAGATACACCACCAAGTCCCATTTAAAAATGGCCTTAATTTAGAATTCACCCTCTCAAGAACAGATTGAGTATTAAAACATATGAAATGTTTGAGAGCTAAAATTGTTTCAAATATTTTGGATAGCTTAAAGGCATATTTTAGAAATACTGATTTCTTAGTATTTTCTTTGCCAAACTGAAGAAAATAATGGATCCAGCCCTCAAAATTTTGCTTTGGGAATTTCTCATCATCATTAAAATTTGTATATTATCATAACTGCTTCATGTACCTCCCAAAGCAGTGTAACCAGTGCCTTAGTAGGAACTTTCAATGGACCATGAAACAATTTTTATTCCCACATTTATTTTTGAGAAAAGTTGAGTCCTCCATAATTCATATTTCTTGAGTTCTTTCTGGGAGTCAGCAAAATCTTTAAAAAGATTCTTTAAAAAAAGAATTTGTTATCTTAAATATCCAAACTAACTGAGAAGGATTTTAAATTGACATTTGTGTTGTTAGGATAGTTTGACAATGTAATTAGTGAAGTCAGATGGCCTGCAGAAAACCAAATGAAAATATAATGTGATCATATATAAATTTTTCTGTAAGATGTCCAGTTCTGTATATCTCAGAATTATTCTTTTAATTGTAGCTACCAAAAGGAGTTATTATGATTGGCTAGATTCGCTTTATATAGCCATGAACAATTTAAAATATTAAGGCTAGATTTTGAGGTGGAAATTTTTGCCTTATATTTTTAGCAAAAAGGAACAATTATATTCTATTTCTCTTAAGGACTAAGTTAATTTGCTAATTAGTATTTTTCAATAGGCATTATCATTTTGTTGGATCTGCCAAAGCAAGATTTTATTTCTTAAAATATGATTTTCTCTTATTCTGCCCTTGTCAGTTGATGTGTACATGAGGGGGTAAATTGCATTTAGTATTCATCTAAATTGGAATTTTCCAAATGTATAATCTAAAAGCACTGATCTGTTGATACTCCCTGCAATAAAAGTTTTCCTTGAGCAAATAGTTTTGGATATATGTATTGTTTTCATATCTTGGAAATGATCTGTAAATGGTGGCATTTAATAGTATGTGAGTTCCTTGGTAATGAAAACATGAATTCTAATTCTACTTATGTCTCTAACTTGTTGTGTTAGTCTCAGATCTAAGTCATTTTATTTCTCTTGATGTCATTCTTCATGTGTATATTGAGGATGCTGAATCGGATGACTGTCTAAGGGCTCTGGTTCTTGACTTCTCTAATCGTTTTATTCTAGATAAAATTTAAGTTGTAACTCTATGCTCTTTGAAGCGCATAAACACTGTCAACATAAAAAAATGAGACTTGAAGGTGGTATCCATTACAGCCTTTGCAAAGATTTCCCTTGAATAAAAGGGCAGAAAATAGAGCCAATAGCTTGTGGACTAGGAAGATTTTGTGAAGAATAGGAAAAATGAGTTAATTTCAGAAATGGAAAAAAAAGTACAACTCTAGGCTATGAAAGAAAATAAGCCATCTGGTATTATGGCACTGCATGAGTTCAGTCAACCAAAATTCTGTTAATGTAGAAAATGGTAATTGCATATTTTGTGAAAATGTTTCGATTCCTAAGGTTTTAGTTACCTCTATAATAAAGGCAACATTATGACTTTTGCTGTTGTCAATTTTCAAATTAATATTTCTTTGATCCAGTAGTAACCTAATTTTTATTGAAACTCAAGGCACAGAGGAATATGGATAGAAACTTTAATATAAAGGGATACATAATTAATTTTATATTTGCAATACTTATTTCACTGCAAATAAGATGCTCATTATGTTAATCACATTGCAGCTTCTCTGTTTGTAGCTTATATGGTTTGGCTGTGTCCCCACCCAAATCTGATCTTGAATTATAGTCCCCATAATCCCCACATGTCACAGGAGGGACCTGGTAGGAGGTAATTGAATCATGGGGACAGTTACCCCCATACTGTTCTTATGATAACGAGTGCGTTCTCAAGAGATCTGATGGTTTTATAAGGGGCTTTTCCCCCTTTGCTTGACACTTCTCCTTCCTCCTGCCATGTGAAGAAGTGTGTGTTTGCTTTTCCTTCCACCATGATGGTAAGTTTCATGGGGCCTTTCCAGCTCTGTGGAACAGTGAGTCAACTAAACCTCTTTCCTTTATAAATTACCCAGTCTTGGGCAGTTCTTTATAGCAGCATGAGAACAAACTAATACAGTAGCCTTAACCTTACACACAATTTGAATAGAAAATTTGATTCGAGCTTCATTATTTTTGTAGTTCAGACTCTATGCAATCTACACAAGTACAACACTGCTACAGTATATTAGTTTTGCACTCAATAGGAGATTCACTGGGGTGATTTGAATTATACATCAAGAAGAATTGAATCTTTTTGGCATATTTTGTAGAATTTTTTAAAATTAGCATTATTCAAAGAGGTATTGGTTTATTAATTTGACACCACAGTCTTCCGTACACTGATTTCATTTTTTTTCATGCTGATTCTGCCATATCCTGTGACCTTCAGTATAAACTACTGTGTGGCTTTGCATAAGAAAATGAGAAACTTGTTCTCAAAAGTTAGCCTGTATCACGGTTGCATATGCTAGTCCATGCTATAGGTGGCATAGGCCTGTAGTCCTAGCTGAGATGGGATAACTGCTAGAGCCCAGGAATTTGGGGTTGTACTGAGCTATGATCTTTCCACTGCACTCCTGCCTGGGCTACAGAGTGAGAACATGTCTCTTAAAGAAACAAAAAAAGCCCATAAGAATAGGATAAACATCAGTTTTCAGATGAATTGAATCTTGACTGATCAGATTTTATTTGTATTAGGAACTATAATAAACATTGTAATTCACTGAATTAAGGAGGAGATATATGCATATGCATAGTGATACTTACATGCAATATTATATTTCAATTGACTCTAGTAGTAAAGATATCTGATTATTTCTAAACAAATGTCTTTGAAAATGTTTTCACTTCTTATTTATTCCAAGAAATAACACTTTTATTTCAAAATGGCTTCATTAATGCAGCTTTATTACATGACTTTAAAATTTATGCATAATAAAACTGCAACTGTTACTTCTTTATTGAAGTAAATGGCAATTATAGATTGATGCATGGTACTTGATCAACAAAGGTTACGCCAACACTGTGAATTTTATGGTGAGTTCTATTGACCTATAAGCTCTTCAACCATCATCTAGTTATTTGGAATTCTCATTTACTTTTAGCCAGATATTTCTAGCTCATATTTAGTACTTAAAATTTGTTTTAGGAATATAAAGGAGATATTAAAATATGTGTGTATGTGATAATGTAGCATGTTTTGGTATTGTTCTCATGATAAATTTTAGTAATATTTATGAAACTCAAAGAGGAGATTTTTTTTCTTTAAAATGTATGTTTTCTTAATTTTGTGGTAAAAGAAGCCTAGTTATTTCTATTGTTTTAGTTTACTAATTAAAATATTTGCTAGTCATTAATTCAGAAAATAATGTTAAAAAACTCAATTATACTCAAAGTAAGAATTTATGCAAACATAATTTTTTATTATTATTGAATTTGTGTAAGTAAAAATAATGACACCTAAACTATCGTTTTTAAATTTATTAACAAATAAATTTAATCACAGAATATTTAATAGCCTAAAAACAATCTTCTTGTTAAAAACACACTTAACTTGTGAGATATGTTCATCTTCCATATTAGACAACTTATGTTTTAAGTTACACATTAGTCATATTATATACCTAGTCATTCATAATATAAAATTTGGTTGGATTATTTATTTTAAAAATTAGTTTCAGTCATAATGATTCACATAGTCTATAGTATTTCAGATGACAAGGACTATGCTGATCTGTTTACCACAAATATCTTGGGCAGTGTTGATGCTTTAAAAATGTCAATGATAAACCTTTAAACCTTAATTAAAAATTACTCTGAGATTTAGAGATACATTTCAAGATGGGCCTTTAGCTTACACAAAAAAGTCCTAATAATTATAATGAATGCATTTCTTAGTGGTTGTTAGTATATAAGATATATATAGATATATATATATACTCCCTTACAGTGGGAAAATGGTTCCTTTTCTGTACCATTTCTCATGTGATGAATTCGAGAAATTCTTCACATTCAGTCTTAAAAGTTTTAAGCCGAATATGCTTATTGTTCTGAATTTTAAGGAAAATTAATCAATATTTGACTTTGGTGGTTTATAAACCAATTTTCACTTTTCAATTTGGGAACTAAAAGTCTTGAATAAGTTGTTAAAATGTGTTTGTTTTCTTTTTTATTGTTGTCACGTCCCATGTTTTGCTTCTTTTATTTGTACTTCCATACTATTAGAAATAAGTCCAGACCCATTACATTACTTATTTTTTTGACCTTTT
Organism: Homo sapiens; assembly: GCF_000001405.40. NCBI lineage: Eukaryota > Metazoa > Chordata > Mammalia > Primates > Hominidae > Homo > Homo sapiens. Next base: position 5,580,286 of record NC_000024.10, read on the forward strand.
TAGTTACCAAATTAGAAAGGATTTTTATCACTAAGCTCTAGACAACACTGAAATTGCAGTCTTTAAAAATGAAAAGCACGTACGTTATTACTTTTCTGTTTAAAGCAGTCTTTCTCTTTTTAGAGTTTTGTATATTTGAAAACTCTACACTTAAATATTACGAGTTGATTATGAATTCTAATTAATACAAAATTAGAGTGATTCTGTGTGTGTGTGTTTGTGTGTTTCTTATCATTGAAATAGAATCCTCATTTAAAGTGTGGGGAATTGCAAAATTCTATGTAGAAGATCAATCCTCCCCAAAGTGTTTTATGAAAGCACTATTTAAAAAAAATTTTATACTTCAGCTTGTATTACCATTAAATTACATTGCATACAGATGAAACATCTTGCAATGAGAAATAAATGTGCTGTTTGTCAGTGACACTTAAAAATGTTGTACAATGCTCTTTTATTGATCCTTATTAGTGCATAGAAACATTACTTTCACCTCTATTTTTCTATTCTGCTTTATTCCATCTAAGAATTTCATGTCTTCAGTTTTATAATATTCTAATTTTATTCAAAATAGATTTTTAACAAATTCAAAATGTTTATCTTTAAGCTTTTATCCATAATGGATATTATTAAATAATTCCTAAAATGCAGATGTGATCAGGAAATTATTTATTAATATTGGCTTTAAAATTTTGTGATGAATAAACTTGAGAGTCATCTGTCCAGATCAATACATATTTGGGTGTTTATAAACATACAATTATTTTGTTTAAAAATAGACTTTGCTACTTGTTCCAGGTCAAGCATGATTTCACAGTGTTTTGAAGAAAGTCAATAATGCAAGGCTTGAATTTATCTAGAAAATAATGACAATAATCTCTAATCCCTTATGTCCTAATTGTGAGAAATAATATAAAATTTTAGGTGAAGACAATGGTATTATAGAAAAAGTTTCTTAAGCCATGATAAGAATAATTCTACTGGGCCATTCTCATGCTAGTGCCTGCTGATTTTGGGTTTTTCCTATTACTATTTTATATGTCAGAAGTTTGGGGACAGAGCAACCTGTTAAGTCAAAAACAATGTCTTTCCTTGCTCTACACTTATAGTAGGAGGTTGCGTGAAAGAAACTGGTATGTCAGTAGAGGACTGTGCTTAGCCATCACAGGCGACGAAGCTAGAAAATCTACTGAGTTACTGCAAAATGTTACGTTTAATAACACATCTCCTTTGTGGAAAGCACCAATCATTACTTCCCAGGAAGCCAACATATTGCATAGGCTTGGTCCAATTCTATAAAAATGTATTACAAAATACAAATGTGAAGGAGCAGCAGTCCTACTATGTCTCAATTATCACATTCTTTGTAAAGTGAAGTAGAAAATATATTGCAATACCTTACAAATTATATTTATTTAGGTATGCTAATATAATGTTGTAGAAATAAGAGAAAATATTTATTGTGTTTAACTTTATTAAAATTTCTTTTTAGCTTTCATACCTGGACTAAAGAAAGGTACAGTAGAAATCAACACAAACCATCACCATGTTGCATGTTTCATTTTAAAATGAAGTGCTGATTTGTGTTTAAGAACTGTTTACCTTTTTGCTACTCATAAAACATCAACTGTTTGCTTCAAACACATTTTTGATACATTTAAAATATCTGAAATCTAGGAAGGGCATTCAGTCAGTTGGATATCTTATATATCTGAATGCTTTTTCTAAATTGTGTGTCATCAATCTTTAGATAATAAAATAAATGTGACTCTATAGTTATTTATTTGGCTTAAAGTAGTTACTTTCAAATTACCTATGAATTTATTATTCATTTCTCTCCTCTGATAGTATAAGCATTTTCAGTATTTTGTTTGAGCAGCCATTAAAGATATAATTATATTTTTCTGTATTCTATTCCAATTTGATCTATAAATTGTATATGTTTTCTAAATTACTAACAAAGTTTACATTGTTTATGAATTTGTAAATAATATGTAATATGCATTTTCTTTGCCAAATTATAACACATGGATTACATGGGAACCTATGATAAGTTAAGGTTGACAGACAAAATATTTCTAAAAACATGGAGTTTAAGCAATCAGTTGAAAAATATATATATTTTTTGTGCTGATAAAATTTTAAAATGCTGCAGGATATATTGAATGTTCCAAATATATCTGCACTCATTGTGCATATGCACACATTTCTTTGTTGTCCACTTTATATTTGGTGATGTTTCTGTCCTATTGTTCCACTGTTCTTTATAACAATAATTTATTTCACTCATACACTTTTATCTTAAACTGTAATGTATAATACATTGATGTTTTGATGAAATAGAAAGAGCACTTAAAGAAAAAATTTTCCTGAAATCCGTCATAAACCTGAATTGTTATGTAAGGAAGAAACTTACCTTTAATCTTTAATTTTGACATATTAGCAATATTAACAACATACTTTATCAATTTTTGGTATTTTAAATGTAAAATGTTGCTTTTGACTTTTTACACTGTGTTGGGGTACTTCTTCTGTTCTTCTATAATCAGTTCTAATGTCCATGATACATTTCTGCCTATCATCTGAATAATGAAATGTGATCTCATTTGTCCATCTTTGCTTTGGTTGCCTGTGCCTGTTGGATAATGCTCAAAGAGTTTTCGCACACTCAGATTTCCTGAGGAGTTTCCCCAAAGTGTTCTTCTAGTAATTTCATAATTTGAAATCTTAGAGTTAAGTCTTTAATATGCATTGATTTGATTTTTTTGTGTATGGCAAGAGGTAGCGGTCTAGTTTCATTCTTCTGCATATGGATATCCAGTTTTCAGTTTTCCAGGAAGTATTGATTGAAGAAACTGTCCTTTCCCTAATGTATACTCTTGGAACATTTGTTGAAAATGAGTTTACTGTAGATGAATTTATTTCTGGGTTTTCTATTCTGTTCCGTTGGTCTATATGTCTGTTTTTATGCCAGTACAATACTATTTTGGTTAGTATAGCTCTGTAGTATAATTTGACATCAGGTAATGTGATTTCTCCAATGTAGTTTTTTTTTGCTTAGGATAGCTTTGGCTATTCTGCGTGTTTTGTGGTTCCATATAAGTTTTAGAATTTTTTTTTCAATTAATGTGAAGAATGTCGTGATTATTTTACAGGGGTTTGCATTGAATCTGTAGATTACTTTGGGAGTATGAATATCTTAACAATATTTATTTTTCCACATACATGTAATATCTTTTCATTTTTTGTGTCTTCAATTTCTTTCATCAAAGTTTTACAGTGTTCATTGTAGAGAATTTCACTTCCTTGATTAATTTATCATATTTTATTTTATTTGTAGCTATTGTAAATGGGATAAATTTCTTGATTCCTTAATGTTGGCACATAAACATGTTACTGGTTTTTGTATGTTGATTTTGGATATGAAATCAATATTCATCAGTGATATTGGCCTGTTTTCTTTTTCTGATATGTTGTTGGATTTTGGATACGAAATCAACATACAAAATTACTAAATTTGTTTATCAGTTCTAATCATTTTCTTGTGGACTCTTTAGGTTTTTCTAAATATAATATCATATCATTAACAAACAAGAACAATTTTACTTCTTCCATTTCAACTTGGATGCCCTTTATTTCTTTCTCTTGTCTGATTGCTCTAGCTAGGACTTCCAGTACTATGTTGAATGACACTGGTGACAGTGGTCCTCCTTATCATGTTCCAGATCTTAGAGAAAACACTTTTCGTTTTTTCCCCTTTCAGTATGATACTAGCTGTAGGTCTGTTGTATACGCCCTTTATTATATTGAGGTATGTTCATCCTATACTCAATTCTTAGAGAATTTTTTTAAATGAAGGAATGTTGAATTTATCAAGTAATTTTTCAGCATCAATTGAAATAATCATATGATTTTTGTCTTTTAGTCTGTTGATATGATGAATCACATAGATTGATTTGCATACATTGAGCCATCTTTGCATCTCTAGGTTAAATCCCACTTGGTCATGATGAATGATGTTTTCAATGTGTTGTTGAATTCAGTTTGCTAATATTTTGTTGAAGATTTTTGCATCAATATTCATCAGTGATATTGGCCTGTTTGCTTTTTCTGATATGTTGTTGGTTTTGGTATCAGGGTAATATTAGCCTCATAGAATAAGTTTTGTAGTGTTCCCTCCTTCTCTATTTTCTAGAATAGTTTGAATAGAATTGGTATTAGTTCTTTCTTAAATATTCGTTAGAAGTCAGCAGTGAAACCCTCTGGTCCTCAGCTATTTTTCTGCTGGAAGATATATTTTTTCTTTTTTTTTTTAACTTTTAAGTTCAGGGGTACAAGTGTAGGTTTGTTACATAGGTAAACTTGTGTCATGGGGATTTGTTGCACAGTTTGTTTCATCAACCAGGTTTTAAGCCTAGCACCCATTAGTTGTTTTTCCTGATCCTCTCTCTCCTCCCACCCTCCATCCTCCAAGAGACCCCAGTGTGTGTGGTTCTCCTCTATGTGCCCATGTGTTCTCATAATTTATCTCTCATTAATAAGTGAGAAAATGTGGTATTTGGTTTTCTGGCCCTGTGTTATTTTGGTAAAAATAATGGCCTTAGGCTCAATTCATGTTCCTGCAAAAGACATAATCTTGTTCTTTTTTATGGCTGCATAGTATTCCATGGTGTATATGTACCACATATTCTTTACCCAGTCTGTAATTGATTGACATTTAGGTTGATATCATATCTTTGCTATTGTAAGTAGTGCTGCAGTGAACATATGCATGCATGTGTCTTTATAATAGAATGATTAATATTCCTTTGGATATATTCCCAGTAATGGGATTGCTGGGTCAAATGTTATTTCTGTCTTTAGGTCTTTGAGTAATTGCCACACTGTCTTCCACAGTGGCTGAAATAATTTACGCTCTCACCACCGGTGGATAAGTTTTCCTGTTTCTCTACAACCTCACCAGGATTTCTTACTATTTGACTTTTTTGTAGCCATTCTGACTGGTGTGAGATAGTATCTCATTGTGGATTTGATTTGCATTTCTCTAACAATCAATGTTGTTGAGCTCTTTTCATATGATTGTTGACCACATGTATGTCTCCTTTTGAAAAGTGTCTGCTCATGTATTTTGCCACTTTTTAATGGAGTTGTTTTTTTTCTTTGTAATTTTTTTAAGTTCATTATAGATGCTGGATATTAGACCTTTGTCAGATACAGAGTTTCCAAAAATTTTCTGTCATTCCATAGATTGTTTACTCTGTTGATAGTTTATTTTTGCTATGAAGCAGCCGTTTCATTTACTTAGATCTCATTTGTCAATTTTTGCTTCTGTTGCAATTGCTTTTGGAATTTTTTTTATGAAACTTTTGCCAGCGCCTGTATCCGGAATGATACTGCCTAGGTTATCTTCCAGGAATTTTATAGTTTTGGGTTTTATGTTTAGGTCTTTAATCCATCTTGAGTTTATTTTTGTATATAGTGTAAGGAAGGGGTCCAGTTTCAATCTTCTGCATATGTCAGTTATGTCAACACCATTTATTGAATAGAAAATCCTTTCTTCAGAGCTTCTTTTTTTTTTTTTTTTTTTGGTCAGGTTTGTCAAAAATCAGAGAGTTGTAGGTGTGTGGTCTTATTTCTGGGTTCTCTATTCTATTCCATTTGCCTATGTGTCTGTTCCTGTACCAGTGCCATGCCATTCTGGTTACTATAATCCTGTAGTATAGTATAGTTTGAAGTCAGGTAGTATGATACCTCTGGCTTTGTTCATTTTGTTTAGGATTACCTTGGCTATTAGGGCTATTTTTGGTACCATATAAATTTTTAAATAATTTTTTAAAATTTTATTTCTGTGAAGAATGTCATTGATAATTTAATAGGAATAGCATTGAATGTATACATTGTTTTAGGCAGGATGACCATTTTAATGATATTGATTATTTCTATCCAGGAGCATAAAATGTTTTTCCATTTGTTTGTGTCATCTCTGATTTCTCTGAGCCGTGGCTTGTAGTTCTCCTTGTAGAGATTTTTCACCTCCCTGGTTAGCTGTATTCAAAGGTATTTTATTCTTTTTGTGGCAAATGTGAATAGGCATCTGTTTGTGGCTCTCAGCTTAACTGTTGTTGATGTATAGGAATACCAGCACTTTTTGCACATTGATTTTGTGTCCTGAGACTTTGGTGAAGTTGTTTAACAGCTTCAGAAGCTTCGGGGCTGAAAAAATGTTTTTTTTGTTTGTTTTTTTTTTTAGATATAGGGTCATGTCATCTGCAAACAGAGATAGTCTGACTTCCTCTCTGCTGGAAGATATTTATTATGGCTTTGAGCTCATTATTTGTTATGGATATGTTCAGGTTTTGGATTTCTTAATGGTTTAAACTTGATAGGCTATATGTGTCTAGGATTTGTCAATTTCTTCTGGCTTTTTCCATTTATTGGCATATAGTTGCTAATAATGGCCATTAATCATCTTTTGAATTCCTGTGGTATCAGTTGTAATGTCTCCTTTTACAACTCTGGTTTTATTCAGGTCTTCTCTCTTTTCTCTTAGTCTGGCTAAAGGCTTGTCAATTTTGTTTAACTTTTAACAAAACAACCTTTTTATTTCATTGATCTTTTGTATTGATTTATTTGTTTTGATTTCATTGATTTATCTTCTATTATTATTCTTTTTCTTCTATTAATATTGGATTTTGTTTGCTCTTGCTTTTCCTGTTGTTTAAGATGCGTCGTTAGGTTGTTTACTTGAAGTTTTTCTCATTTTTTAGTGTAGGCACTTACAGCTATAAACTTCCCTCTAAGTACTGCTATTGCTATATCCCATAGGGCTCAGTATGTTGTGTGTCCATTATAATTTGTTTCAAGAATTTTTTCAAATTTCTTTTTAATTTCTGCATTAACATACTGATCATTCAGCAGCATATTGTTTAATTTCTATGTGAGTGTATGGTTTCCAAAATTCCTCTTGTAATTAATTTCTAGTTTTAGTCCATTGTGGTGAGAGAAGGTGCTTGATAATTTTTGACTTTTTTGAATGTTTTAAGAATTGTTTTTTGAGCTAATATATGACCTTTCCTTGAGAATGATCTCTTTGCTGAGGAGAAAAATGTGTATTCTGCAGCAGATGGGTGAAATTTTCTGTAACTATTAGGTTTTTTTGTTCTATAGTGAAGATTAAGTTCAATTTTTTTTGCTGTTGCTGTTGTTGTTGATTTTCTGTCTGAAAGGTCCAGTGCTGAAAGTGTGGTGTTTAAGTCTCCACCTATTACTGTATTGGGGCCTATCTCTATCTGTGGCTCAATAATATTTGCTATATATATCTGAGTGCTGTAGTATTGAGCACATATATATTTACAATTGTTATATCCTTTTCCTGAATTGACCCATTTATCATTATATAGTGACTTTCTTTGTCTCATAGTTTTTATATTGAAATATAATTTGTCTGATATAAGTCTAGCTACTACCACTCTTTTTTAGTTTTTATTGGCATGGAATATCTTTTACCATCTGTTTATTTGCAATGTATGAGTGCCTTTAAATGTGAAGTATATTTCTTGTAGGCAATAGATTATATAGTTTTTTTAATCCATTAATCCACTCTATGCCTTTTGATTGGAGAATTTAGTTGTTTTTACATTAAATGTTATTATTAACAAATAAGGGCTTATTCTTGCCATATTGTTATTTGTTTTCTGTTCATTTTGTGGCCTTCTCTTCCTTCTTTCCTTCCTTTTTTCTTCTTTTAGTTAAGATGATTTTCTCTGGTGATACAATTTAGTTTTTTTTTTAAATTTTTTGTCAGTCAGTTATCTGTTTTTTGATTTAAGGTTACCATGAAACTTGCAAATACTATCTTATAACCCATTATTTTAAGCTAATAATAATTTAACACTGTATAAACAAACAAACATAAAAATGTAGAGAAAACTCATAAACACTCTACATTTTATTACCCTACTTTTTAATCTTTTGTTGTTCTTATTTATATATTGTTATACTGTCTAGGTCTTGAAAAGTTGTAGTTATTATTTTTTATTGGTTCCTGTTTTAATATTTCTACTTATGATAAGAATAGTTTACACACCAAAGTTACAGTGTTATAATATTCTGTATTTATTGTGTATTTACTATTACCAGTCAGTTTTGTACCTTTGTATGAATTCTTGTTGCTCATTAACATTCTATTCTTTTTAATTGAGGCACTCTCTTTAGTATTTCCTGAAGGACAGGTCTGGTGTTGTTAAAATCCTTCAGCTTTTGTTTTTTGGGGGAAGTCTTTATTTCTCCTTCATGTTTAGAGGATATTTGCACCAGATATACTATTATAGAGTGAAAGTATTTTTTCTCCAGCACTTCTTTAAATATGTCATGCCACTCTCTCATGCCCTGTAAGGTTTCCACTGAAATGTGCTGCCAGATGTATTGGTGCTCCATTGTATGTTATTTGTTTGTTTTCTCTTGCTGCTCTTTCTAAAATAATCCTTTCTTTATTTTTGACCTTTGGGAGTTTGATTATTAAATGCTTTGAGATAGTCTCTTTTGGGTTAAATCTCCTTGATGTTCTTTGGGCTTCTTATACTTGGATATTGATAATATTTCACTAGGTATTGGAAGTTCTCTTTTATTATTTCTTTGATAAAACTTCCTACTCATATCTCTTTCTCTACCTCCTCTTTAAGGCCAGTTACTCTTAGATTTGCTCTTTTGAGGCTGTTATCTAGATTCTGTAGTTGTATGTCATTACTTTTATTCTTTTTTCTTTACTTCTGTGTATTTTCAAATAGCTTATCTTCAAGCTTACTAATTCTTTCTTCTACTTGATCAATTCTGTTATTAAAAGACTGATATTGTTTGGCTGTGTCCCCACCCAAATCTCATTTTGAATTGTAGCTCCCATAATTCCCATGGGTTGTGGGACGGACCCAGAGGGAGGTAACTGAATCATGGGGATGGGCTTTTCCCATGCTGTTCTCATGATACTGAATGAGTCTCATGAGATCTGATGGTTTTATAAAGGAGAGTTCCCCTACACAAGCTCTCTCTTTCCTGCTGCCATGTGAGATGTAACTTTGCTCTTCCTTGCCTTCCACCATGATTTTGAGGCCTCCCCAACCACATGGAACTGTGGTTAAACTTCTGTTACCTTGTAAGTTACCTAGTCTCGTATGTGTCTTTATCAGCAGTGTGAGAATGGACTAATACAAAGACTCTTATGCATTCTTCAGTATGTTAATTGCATTTTTCAGCACCAGAATTTTTACTTGATTCATTCTAATTATTTCAATCTCCTTGTTAAATTTATCTAACAGACTTCTAAATTTCTTCTCTGTGTTATCATTGAATTTCTTTGAGTTCCCTCAAAACAGCTATTTTTAATTCTCTGTCTGAAAGTTCACATATCTCTATTTCTCCAGGATTGGTCCCTGGTGCCTTATTTAGTTTATTTGGTAAGGTCATGTTTTCCTGGATAGTCTTGATATTTATGGATTTTCATCTGTGTCTGGGCATTGAGGAATAAGGTATTTATTGTTATCTTTGCAGTAGGGACTTGTTTGTACTCATCTTTCCCAGGAAGGCTTTCCAGATATTTCAAAGAACTTTGATGTTGTGATCTAAAATATATCTGTATTAGAGAACGCAAGAAGCCCGAAGCCCAGGACAACTTTTTAAGTTTAAGAACTAAGTAACTGTGGTTCTTGCAGACTTGTAGAGGTACTGCCTTGGTGGTTTTGGACAACATCCAGAAGAATTCTGTAGATTATCAGGCAAAAACTCTTGTTCTCTTTTCTTACTTTCTTCCAAAAAAAAAAAAAAAATGGAGTCTCTCTCTCGCTCTCTGTTCTGAGCTGCCTGGAGTTATTGGTGGAATGACACAAGCACCTCTGTGACCACCACTACTAGGATTGTGCTGGGTCAGACCCGATGCCAGTACAATACTGGGCCTCACTCAAGGCCTGATACAACCTCAACTTGACTACTGCCTATGTTTTCCCAAGGCCCTGGGGCTCTACAGTAAGCTGCTGGTAAGGCCTTTCAGGCCTGTGTTCTTCCCTTCAAGATGGCGAATTTCCCCAGGCCCCAGGTATGTCCAGATGTGCCATCCAGGAGCCAGAGACTAGCATTAAATACCTTAGATGTCTAAGTGGTATTCTATTGTACAGCAACTGAGCTGGCACTCAAACCACAAGATGCAATCCTTCCCACTCTTCTTTCCTTTTTCCAAAGGTAGAGGAGTTTCACCCTGTGGCCACTGCCAACATGAGGCCATGGAGAATACTGCCAAGCTATTGCTGATGTTTCGTTTAGGTCCAAAGTCTCTTCAGTCAGCTTGTGATGATTGATACCTGGCCTGGGACTCACCCTTCAGAACAATGGGCTCCTCTCTCACCCAGGGCAGGTCCAGAAATGCTGTCCAACATCCATGTCCTAGATATGGGGACCTCAAGGGTCCACTTCGTGCTCTACTCCACTGTGGTGAGCTAGGACTTAAGGTCCAAGACAAAGTTCCCTTTTCCCTCCTCATTTCTCAATCAGAGGGAGTCTTGCCCCCTACACACACAGCAGGAAATGTGCTGATTGTAGCCTGAGTCCAACAAGTCTCAGAATTTCACCCCAAGGCACTAGAAGTATTGCTTGGGTATTATTGCTGGTCATTAATCTTCTGTGATCATTATTTGTATTTCTGTGGGGTCAGTGGTAATATCTTCTTTGTCATTTCTAATTGTGTTTATTTGGAACTTTTCCCTTTTTTTCTGTATGAGTGTACCTAGAAATCTGATATGGTTTGGCTCTGTGTTCCCCTCAAAATCTCATCTCAAATTATAATCCCCATGTTTCCAGGGAGGAACATGTAATCTCCATGTGTCAAGGGAAGGAGGTGATTGGATCATAGGAGCAGTTTCCCCCATGGTGGCCTTGTGATAATGAATGAGTTCTCACGAGATCTTATGGTTTTATAAGTGTTTGACAGTTTCTCCTTCACATGTTCTTTCTCCTGCCACCTTGTGAAGAAGGTACTTCCTTCCCCTTTGCCTTCTGCTATGATTATAAGTTTCCTGAGGCCTACCCAGCCATGTGGAACTGCGAGTCAATTAAACTTCTTTCTTTTAAAAATTACCCACTCTCAAGTATTTCTTTATAGCAACGTAAAAATGGACTATTACACAATCTATTTCACTAATTAAAAAAAAAAACCTCCTAGATTCATTCATCTTTTGAATGTTTTTTCCTGTCTCATTTTCCTTCAGTTCAGCTCTGATTTTGGTTATTTCTTGTCTTCTGCTAGCTTTGGGCTTGGTTTGATCTTGCTTCTCTAGTTTTCTTTAGTTGTGATGTTAGGTGGTTCAACTGAGATTTTTTTAACTTTTAGATGTGGGTATTTAGTGCTATAAATTTCCACTTTAACACTGCCTTAGTTGTGTCCCAGAGATTCTGCTATATTGTATCTGTGTTCTTATGAGTTTCAAATAACTTCTTGATTTCTGCCTCAATTTCATTATTTACCCAAAAGTCATTCACAACCTGAGCAAATTATACAATTTCCATTTAATTGTATGGTTTTGAGCAATTTTCTTAGTCTTGCTTCCTAATTTGATAGTGCAATGATCTGAGGGAGTGATTCTTATTATTTCAGTTCTTTTGCATTTGCTGAGGAGTGTTTTGTGTCCGATTATGTGGTCAATTTTAGAGTATGTGCTGAGTGGCATTGAGAATAATGTACATTCTGTGGTATTTGGGTAGAGATTTCTGTAAATGTCTATTAAGTATATTTGGTCCAGTGCGGAGTTTAGTTCCTAAATATCTTCATGAATTATCTGTCTAATACTGTCAAAGGGTGTTGAAATCTCCCACTATTATTTTGTGGGAGTCTAAGTCACTTTGATGATCTCTAAGAACTTGTTTTATGAATCTGAGTGCTAATGTGTTGGGTGCATATATATTTAGGACAGTAAGTTCTTCTTGTTGAATTGAACCCTTTACCATTATGTGATGCCCATCTTTGCTTTTTTCTATATTTGTTGGTTGAAAATATGTTTTTTCTGAAATTAGGATTGAAATCCCTGCTTTTTTGTTTTCCATTTGTTTGTATATTTTTTTCTATTCCTTTATTTTGAGCTCATGGGTGTCACTGCATGTGAGATGTGTCTCTCAAAGACAGCATAACAATGGGTCTTGGTTCTTTATGCAACTTAACAGTCTGTGCCTTTTAATTGAGAGCATTTAGCTTGTTTACGTTCAAGGTTAGTACTGATATGTATGGATTTGATTCTATCATCATCATGTTAGCTGGTTATTCTGCAGACTTGTCTGTGTGGTTCTTCATAGCGTCACTGGCCTGTGTAATTCAGTATGTTTTTGTAGTGGCTGGTAACTGCCTTTCCTTTCCATATTTAGTGCTTCTATCAGAAGCTCTTGTAAAGCAGGTTGGTTGGTAATGAATTCCCTCAGCATTTGCTTGTTTGAAGATAATGTCATTTCTCCTTCATTTAGGAAGCTTAGTTTGGCCAGATATGAAACTCTGGGTTGAAATTTCTTTAAGAATGTTGAATATAGACCCTCAATCTTTTCTGGCTTGTGAGGTTTCTGCTGAGAGGTCTGCTGTTTGTATGATGGGGTTCTCTTTTTAGGTGACCTGACTCTTCTCTAGTTGCCTTTAATTTTTTTTTTTTATTTTGACCTTGGAGAATCTGATGATTGTGTTTGGAATGATCTTCTTGTAAAGTATCTTACTGAGGTTCTCTGAATTTCCTGAATTTGATTCTTGGCTTGTATAACTAGGTTGGGGAAGTGACCATGGATGATATCCTGAAATATGTTTTCAAAGTTGCTTCCATTCTCCTCGTCTTTTTCAGGGACAACAATGCTTCATAGATTTGTTCTCTTTCCATAATTCCATTTTTTTGGAGGTTTTATGTATTCCTTTTAATTCTTTTTTCCCTATTCTTGTCTGACTGTATTATTTTAGAAAGCCGACCTGCAGACTCTGAGATTCATTCCACAGCTTGGTCAATTCTGCTATTAATACTTGTGATTGCATTATGAAATTTTTGTAGTGTGTTTTTCAGCTCTGAGAGCTCAGTTATATTATTTTCTATAAAGACCTATTTTGTTTGTTAGTTGTTGCATCATTTTATTATGATTCTTACCTTCTTTGAATTGGGTTTCAATGTACTCCTGCATCTCAATGATCTTAGTTTCTATTCATATTCTGAATTCAATTTCTGTCATGTCAGCTTTTTCAGCCCAGTGAAGAACCGTTGCTAGAGAGTTGGTGTGGTCATTTGGAGGAAAGAAGACACTGTGGCTTTTAGAGTTGTCAGAGTTCTTGCACTGTTCTTTCTTGTCTTTGTGGGCTGATGTTCCTTTAGTCTTCGAAGTTGCTGTTTTGTGAGGTTTTTTGTTTTTTTTTTTTAATCCTATTAGATGCCCTTGAGGGTTTAGTTGTGGTACAAGCTTAGTTCAGTCAACTGGCTTCATTTCTGGAAGAATTTGGGGGGCCAAGTCTCTGCTCCCAACTTCTATACTACGTGCTGTAACTCTGGGAGACTGGTATTGGGCCCTGTCTTTGTTCTCTGGCTCCTCAAAGTTAGGAACCCAATGTGCTCGGAAGGCTGAAATGCTCCCAGACTACTGATCACTACACTTTGATGGCTGGTGCCAGCCAAAACATTTGGTAGGTCAGTGGCAGTGGGATCTGTCCTTGTTTGCATGTGCCAGCAGCAGTGACAGTGGCAGCACTGTGTGGTACCTGCATGTTGGCTGTGGCAGGGCACCTAGTGGGTATTGGGGTACTGGTCTCCCTACACACATTCACAGCAGCGACAGAGGCAGCATGGCTCTCTAGGATGGGGATCCCCTCTGGTGACTGTGCATGTGGTCATACTGGTGGTGGTTTTAGCGCAAGGGCTGGACGCTGTCAGGTGCAGGTCTTTGTGCACCCTCTATGTGCATTCATGCAGGCAGAGGTCCCCACTCAGGGAATGTGAGGGTCTGCTGTTCTCTGTTCCTGGTTTCACTCTGGAAATAGCATTGGCACAGGGGCAGGGGCCTGGCAAAGGTGGGGCTGCTGGGCTCTGTGCCCACCAAGGCTCTGACTGCAATGACAGTACAGTGGGGAGAGAGGAGGTGGAGTGAACTCATGCTGGCAGCAGTGGAAGGGCAGGGTTCACACACACACACACCCCACACACACACACCCCACACACACACACCGAGGGGACACGGAATGCAAAAGCCACCTCACACACACTCACCAGCAAGGCAATATGGGGAAGGGCCGTGGGCCTGAGGGTAGATGCAGTTGAGGGAGGGAGGGTGTGAGCTAGTGCATGGCCATGGGCTTTGCTCTGCTGGAGCTCTCTGCCAGTGTGGTGCAGTCCACCAGTGCAGGAGCTATGATGTGGGTCCCCAGGGCACCAGAGGTTGCACCGCAAAGAGGCAGAGTCAGGCTGGGCCTCTGGGACAGGCCAGCAGACCAAGGGGTGCGCAGGTTGGACCATCCCCTTCTGATGGGCCTGCAGAGTTCAGGCCTGACAGTTCCTCTAGGGATAAATTCTCCTATTAGAGCAAGTCAAGCCTCGGGGGTGAGAGTCCCTGACCATGGTCTGCTACAGACGCTCCCACACCAAACCCTCTGCACTCCTCACTGGATGAAAGGCTGCCCTTACTACTTCTCTAAGCAGCTCTCTCTGCCAACGCAAGTGTCTGTGGTAGTCAAGTGGTTTCCTACTGCTGGGATTCCAGAGGTCCATGGTGAGTGCTAATTGCTCCTTGCCAGTTCAACTTACCTGTTCCCTTAGAGTTACTGGGGGCCAGGAACGAGTCCTGCTGCACAGTAGCCCCTTGCAGTATTCCCAGCTTCCTCCCTCTTCAGCCCATTTTTGTCTTCCCTTTGTCCACTCTCAGTGCCTTTCCTCTGAAGATCTGTTAGGAGTGCAGCAGCTGTCAGGATCCCTCAGTGGCAGCCGTTCCACCTGGCTGCTTCTAGTTGGCCATCTTGCTCAGCTCCAATCATTTAACCTCTTAAAGTCTGTTTACTCATTTGTAAAATATAAATATCAATAGCAAGTATCACAAATAATTTAGCACTGCCCCTTAGACATCGTAGATGTTAAATATTATGCTAATACAATAATAGCATTCTTATTTTTCCATTATTTTTTTTCTAGATTGAACTTTTATTGGCTACCCACTTAGCTTTTAGGCAAAATCAATTTCATTTTGTTTTTATTTCAAATATTAATAAAAGAGGCACTGCTTGTTTTCATTAACCTGTGAAATAATTTTCTATGAATTAGAAAATACAGCTGTGTGCATAATTCTGTTCTTTTATCATTATTAGTATTTTCAGCCACTTTTAAGAAACAGAGGAGATAATTTTTTTATGAGTTTATCAAGTTATCTTGTAATTGTTAAATACACCTTGAAGTCTCCATTCCCATAACTAAATCTGGTTTGTCTTTTACCTTTAATTAAGCTAACCTCTCTGTTTAGTAAAGTCTAACTGTGAAGATGATAAGCCAGGTACCAATGTTTAACTTGCATTTTTTTAGCATATTTTAAAACTTCAGTGAAGTCTTGATGTAAATGAATAGATGTATGTATATAAATCTATGGTTATAGTATCTGTTACTCACACATGTCTCATTAAAATTATTGGGAACATTCTTCCTTTACTTTGTTTTTCTCTTAGTCTTCAAAGTTTTATGTGTAGACTCCTTATAAATAGTTTAAATCAGATTGTTAGTAATAAAGAGGAAAATCACTTTAAGAATCTGACAGCAATGTTTGCATTTTAACATCCATGGGAACAGTATATTGTGTCTAACTTAAGTATCTGACACCAAACATTAAACATAATATTTCCTTTCTAATCTTATCCTTTGATACATTTTAGTGTATGAGGTATTTCAAGGAAAGATGTGAAACATGTAAATTAATTGTCTTTTTTATCCCTCAAAGATAACCAAGGTATTTATTAAATTCCCTGAAGCCGTATGACAAGACATACATCTAAACTCAAACTAAATTATCTGGCTCTTGTAAGCTTTATGTTTGACATCATGATAATCCATATTTTGTTCTTTTACAAAAGTGATGCAACGAATTTATAAATTAACACAGAGACATTGGTTACAATAATTTCATAAAGACAAAGAGAAGCCTCACAATTGTGACACCGGGCTTGTTTGACATTCCTTGTACCTAAACAATTTATTACCTTTTACACTATAGTCAGAGGTAGTGAACTATTACTGGAAAAATGGTATTTTCTCCATGCATTGGAATTTGAATTATTCCTCAAAGGCAGTTCTTGCAGTGGGTAATGTTCCTCGTGTTGTCACTTGGCCAACAGACTGTACCTTGGCATGGGAAAATTTGTCAGCTTTTTCACATGTGACACAGATGTTGCTTTTAATGATGCATTTAAATAATTTTGCATAGAAAGGGAAGATAAGATTACATAAAAAGAAAAATAGTTATTCAAGACTTATGAAGGCTCAAGAAACTGGAGAGCCAATAATACACTCTGAATAAGGTCTATGATCTTTCACTTATGAAGAATTTACACCCAATTTTCATAAATTACATATCGATGTGTTATAAATTATGTACTTTATTTTATTTATAAAATTATGTCCAACATTTTGCTAAAGTTCATTATACAAATTCCGAAACAAACAATAGTTTATTTTAGATTTGGTAGTTTAATGATGCCATTCATTTAACGTAAATATGTTTCATTGTGAAAGAACATGGGAAGAAAAATGACTTTGTCATACATATATCTTGTCACATTTGATCCAGCAATCCCACTACTGGATATCTACCCAGAGGAAAAAATGTCATTATATGAAAAGGATACTTGCACAGGCATGTTTATAGCAGCACAATTCACAATTGTGAAAATGTGGAACCAGCCCAAATGCCCAGCAAACAATGAGTGAATAAAGAAAATCTGTGTGTGTGTGTAAGTGTATATATATGTATATATATGTGTATATATATGTATATATGTATATATACGTATGTATATATGTGTGTATATATATACGTATATATATGTGTGTATATATATACGTATATATATACATATATATGTGTGTGTATATATATATACGTATATATATATGCTAGATCGAATGGTACATCTACTTTTAGTTCTTTAAGACATCTCCATACTGTTTCTCAAAGGGGTTGTACTAATTTAGATTCCCTTCAGCAGTGTAAAAGTGTTCCCTTTTCACCACATCCATGCCAACATCTATTAATTTATTATTTTTTCATTATGGCCATGTTTGCCAGAATAAGGTGGTATCATATATATATATGTACATACCATGGAACACTACTCAGGCATAAAAAGGAACAAAATAATGGCATTTGCAGCAGCCTGGATGGAATTGGAGACCATTATTCTAAGTGAAGTAACTCAGCAATT
Source organism: Homo sapiens (assembly GCF_000001405.40). NCBI lineage: Eukaryota > Metazoa > Chordata > Mammalia > Primates > Hominidae > Homo > Homo sapiens. The sequence continues at coordinate 5,597,726 of NC_000024.10, forward strand.
GAAAATCAAACCTCATATGTTCTCACTCATAAGTGGCAGCTAAGCTATGAGGACGCAAAGACATAAGAATGATACAATGGACTTTGGGGACTTGGGGGAAAGGGTAGGAGAGGGGTGAGAAATAAAAGACTACATATTGAGTACAGCATACACTGCTTGGGTGATAGGTGCACCAAAATCTCAGAAATCACCACTAAAGAACTTATTCATGTAAAAAATTTTTTTTAATGTGATTGCTGTATAAAATGAGGAGGAAACATAAAAAAGGATGAGTATAAATTAAGACTTTAGATGAATATTCTTAAATTGTATTAAAACTGATTTCTATCAAAGACCAATATAAATTTTTGAAATTGTTTCTTTAAAAATTAATTATACATATTCATTTTCATACATTTATTAATACATATTTGTTTGTATTTACATATAAAATGAGGTCTGAGATTTTTCAGACAATAAGATTTCATAGTTATTTCAATAATTACTATTGTAGCAAAAATTATAAATATAGGCAATCATATTTGGAGCAATCTTTCATTGTTTATATGGCTCAAATTTTTAAGTATATTTAAATTCAAGTTTTTAAGTATATTTAAAAAGATGTCTAACATAAATATATAATACTGTATTTACCCCAGAAACATTAGTAATTAATGATAAGAATAATGACGTAGGAAAATATCAGGAAGGCTTCATCTATTTTGTAAAAATGTTCACATGTTTTTACACATCATAAGAAGCACATTTACAATGAAGAATAATTTGGCCTTTATAATAATGTAACAAGATGACATAATTGCTCATCACAATTAGAAGCTATCTTTAAGGTCTGAAAGGACAAGCAATCTATCTGAGTCGATGTATTATTTTGAGTAATCAATGAAATTTCAGTTACTTGTGATAATAAAGATAATATTATTTTTCTTTAAGATATAGCCTTGCATAATAATAGAAAGATTGATGAAATGGCCAGTTATGTTAAACTTAGAAGAAACATTTCTTCTAGAAAAGAACATCTTGTAGTTCTCGAAACTCATTTTTTTCTGTCAACACAGCAAAAATTGAAAATATGTAAAAAGTGTTACTAAATGTAGAGCTGAAAATGTAGAGCTGAAAGCCTCTTCAGCCTGCCTATTGAATTAGCAAATACAAAACTGAGTACTTTGATTGATATCACCCTGCCAAAGATTCAGCCAAGAGAATTTGGGTAGCTTTATTAAAGCTGGGTTGGACGGTGAGTCTGAGCATTAATTTTTTATGTAGTAGAACACAGGGTCAAAGCTTGCCTTCTGGGACTGCCTTTCCTTGTACTATAATAGATTATCAGATTGAAAAATACTATCAGAATACAGAACAGAGTATAGAGATTAAGTGCTAGCTATTTATACATCAAGAAACATGAATTATTTTGATGGCTGTTGTTATTATGTAACATAACAGTAACTCCCCCAAATACCCAAACAATAAGAAAATGTAAATTATCTATTTTAACTGTTAACTGGACGGTGGAGGTGAGTGAGATTCACTGATTGAATGGTACAAAAGGCATTATATTTAACATAGAAAGTTGTACATTTTTTACAATCTTATTTATGAACACTTGCATTATGGTTGAAAATGAAGGCTTTCATGAAAATAAGCCTATATAAATATATAAAATAATATGCAGGACACATGTGACCCTTATTTATTCCCCATTAGTTTTTTATAGTTTGAACGTCTAATAGTTTCGATTTTTTCATCTGAAAATGTGCAATAGTAATGTGTTAGAACAAACATTTGTGAAACACTTATATCACAAATGCTCAATATATATTGGTTTCTCATTGCAATAAATGACTGCAAAGTCATTAAAAGTAAAAATCATTGACATAAATGCAAAGATGTGAAAAAGTAAATTGACTCTCACAAGTCACAATTTAAAATATCTATACACTTCTATTTTTAAATTTCTTTTTAGAATAAAATGTACTAACTCTATCCATTATGCTCCAACTACAATTGCATCATAATTAATAATTGATGTATTTTCTCGCTGTATCCATTCCATATATTTCCAGGAGAGCTATTTTGCTTGCCAAATATTGATATAAGCAAATAAACTTACCAAATATTTCTGATTTTTTATTATCACTCACCCAATCAAGGTACAATTTGAGAACAACATTTTTAGCATATATTAAGCAGAGGTAAGATCATCATCTTGTCAAAGAAGGATTTTAGTATATCTTTTTAGAGATAATGTATTGCACTTTTCCAAGTGTCATATAATACTTTGTTAAATTTTAAATTGAAGTATTACATTGTGAAGCCACAGAACTCCATGATTATAGATAAAGTGCTTTTCTTAGCAAAGCTTAACTGACATGACAAATATATAGTTTTTTATTATCTCTGAGAAATATGCTTTTTTTTTTTTTTTTTTTTTTTTTTGAGACAGAGTTTCACTCTGTCGTCCAGGCTACAATGCAATGGCATGATCTCGGCTCACTGCATCCTCCGCCTCCTGGATTCAAGCAATTCTCCTGCCTTGGCCTCCAGAGTAGATGGGATTACAGGCATGCACCACCACGCCTGGCTAATTTTTGTATTTTTAGTAGGATGGGGGTTTCACCATGTTGGCCAGGCTGAACTCTGAGAAATATGCTTTCTACTTTTTTGTTTAATTTGAACTTGAAAACAAAACACACACAACTTCCCAATTGGATTAGACTATTAACATTTCAGAAAGGATGTAAGAAAGGACTAGAGAGATATACTTAATGTTTTTAGTTTTTTAAACTTTACAAACTTAATACTGTCATTCTGTTGTTCAGTTAACATCCCTGAATCCTAAATTTCTTCAGATTCTAAAACAAAAAGTTCCAGATGATTTTATATTACACTATTTACTTAATGGTACTTAAATCCTCATTAAAAAAAACAGTACGGTTGTTAAATAATTCTTCCATTAGAAATTCTGAGCCTTTACTCTGTGTCAGGCCTTGTGGTAGGAGCTGGGCTTCAGAAATAAGTATACTGCAATCTGATTCCGGGAAATATTTAGGTTCATAAATAGATAATTTTAACATAATATAGTAAGGGAAGATGGAGGTATAGAAAGGGTTTTCACCTCTGGAGAAATAAGAGGGGTATTTAGAATAGGTCTCTTAACTAAGAGGCCTAACATTTTTGTCTGTGAATCCATAATATTGGCAAACTAATAATGTGTACACACCACTGACAACAATACTTTATCCTTTGATGAATACCCTACAATGGTGTGATTGAATTGGCTTCCAATTAATTTCAAATTCTATATATCACGAAAAGGTAGATATATACCAGAAGGCATCTCACTCTGTTGCCCAGCAGTGCAGTGGCACAATCATGGCTCACTGTAGCCTAGAACTGCTGGGCTCAAGTGATCCTCCTGCCTCAGCCTTCCCAGTAGCTGTGACTATAGGCATATGCCACCACTCCTGGACTTGGATAATGTTTTATTAGAATCATATAGCATAATGATATCTTTTGTTAACCTCTCAACATCAGTATCATCTTTGTGAAGTGAGAGCGCATCATCAGATTATAAGAAATGACAGGAGGACTGTATACTTGGGAAAGTTTTGTTCAGTGTCTTGAGAATTAACAAATATTTATTTTTCTAGAATAACTTGAATGTAAGCTCACTAGAATGTAAGCTCTATGATGGCAGCAGTCTTGTCTGAGTTGTTCACTTGTGTTTCTGTAGTTCCTTCAACAATATCTAGCACATAGAAGGTTTTTAATAAATATTCATTCAGTGAATTTCTACTTAATGTAGCAATCATTTGTCTATTCCCTTAGTAAAGTCTAATTGATCTAGGTATCTTACAAATATATACAAGACCTGGACATGATAACTAAGGTAGAATTTTTTTAGCTAATTAGCTACTGGAAAACTCAAATTAGTAATTATATATATTTTTATTATATACCTGTATGTGTTATTATATATTTATACCTCTATCTATTAGACTCAGGCAAGCTTGAGAAAGTTGTTGTTTGTATTCTAAATTCTGTATTCAAAATAGTTTCAATCTGGCCTGCAGAAAAAGTTGAATTAGTCTCAATATAAATACAACAAAACCCTTATTGCCAAGGAGAGGCATATACCATGCAAATTCTGATCTGAGGGAATTTCAATTGTTTCAAAAGCCATGATATTTGGGTTCCTCTGGATTCTAGCATTACATAAACAGGAAGAGAGGTGAAAATAAGCAGTAGTGATATAAAGAAGTTTCAGGATGGCAATTTGAAATCACGTATTCCAGCTCAACTTTCTAGAAAGTGACACCTGCAGCTTTGTGGGGGTGTCTTCATGCACAAGCTAAATTGTACCTGTTCCAAATGGCCAGATGCACCTATACTCTGAATGTGGGTATACACCCACATTTACCAAGCATTTTAAAATATGCTCTTTAAAGCATAGTTTTGTATCCATTCTGATGACTTCTAGCCTGTAAACACAGGACCCGTGTTAATTTAACTTTTAGTATCACAATAGAATGACATTTTTTAAAGTATAGTTATGATGGTATCATACAACCAGAAATCTAGATGTGAATGAGGTATTTCACTCACTTTTGACCTCTTCTGCTTTACTCCTATGTCCAAAAAAAGAAAACAAGGCATGGAGGTATATTTCTGGCATTATAGGTGGGTGAAAGGCACCCACTATGAGCTCTGAGCCGAAATGTTTGCCACAGGCTTAAATAACTAATTAGGCTTGGGGAAGAGAATGGCTACTTAGAGACATACACCTATAAACTCGGGCATATTTACGCTAGCATATTCATTTACCACAGAATTTATTTATCCCTTATCTCTTCTCTCATGATATTTCTGTATTTTTCTTCTTGGGCAGAGCCAAGTTTTGTGAGTTTATTTGGTCATTTTCTGCATGTATCCCTACTCCTGCTTTTTTTTTCCCCTTCAGATCCACATGCAGCTCAACAGAGGACATAATAATATATCTCTTCTTTCTCACTCTCTTCTGTTCTTACCATCAAAAATATTCCTAAACCATCTACCTCTCCACCTTTTTAATCAGTTTTACCTATTTCATTTTTGAAAATAAGAGGAATTATGCCACACAATTTGTATATATATATAAATTTTTATATATACACATATATATAAAAATTTATACTTACACATATATATATATATATCCATTAAATTGCTAATATTATCACATCAGCCACTTTACTAAACAACATGATCTTACTTGGACCCAACAAATAATTAATTCTGGTATGTTATTTTTAACATCTATAATTATATAATAATAATAACACTAAGAACAAAAACAACAATAACGACATAATAGTTTTTGCAAATAAAATTGATATTCAAGGCAGAAAGATATACAACTTTGTAAGCATAGTAAAGCAATATAACCCTTCTTCTTGTAAAAAAGCAGAAAAAAGTTTTCCTGATACATAAACATAATAGTTTATAACTGATGCTAGTAGATGAAAGAATAGTCAATACATTCTTAGTACTTCCAATGCTAAGAACTTGCCCAAAAGAGATAGGAGAGATCCTTGTCCTGAAAGAGTAATGAGAACATCAGAGTCAAGTTAGTAGAGAGGTAAGGACATGAATTATTTTTGGAGTAGATCAACTAATTATATGATTTGTAACAATAAAACTTAAAATATAATTTGTATTTCCTAAATTTCTACAGGTTTTTCCCTCCACATATCTTTACGTCACATATTCTGCGCTATTTTTCTTCCTTGCATTTATTGTGATGAAGCTGTCAAGTTTATGTCAGAAATAGGCATTTACAATGAACAAAACCTACACTGTGAATCTGGATGCAGGATGAAGTTATGCGCATCTAGGAAATAACATGCTACATCCTGTATCGATGATCCTGAAAGATCTTCGCATTTACAATGAACCTGTCATCAGTAGAACTTAAGCCAGATGTCAGAAAGAGAGTCCAGAGACCGTGGTTCTCTATGTAATACACAGAATGGAAATGGCATGAACAGTGACACTGAACTTTTGTGCCCTGTCTCACTATCATGCGTGCCCAGGAGACCTTGTTCTAAGAGAAAAAGAAAGAAAGAAAGAAAGAGAGAAAGAGAGAAAGAAAGAAAAAGAAAGAAAGAAAGAAAGAAAGAAAGAAAGAAAGAAAGAAAGAAAGAAAGAAAGAAAGAAAGAAAGAAAAGAAAGAAAGAAAGAAAAGAAAGAGAAAGAAAGAGAGAGAGAGAAAGCAAGCAAGCAAGCAAGCGGGCATTTGGTCCTTAGGACATTTAGTGAAATGACAAATGGAAGAACAATTAATGACAACTGTGAGTTTTGGTGCAGATCGTAGGGAATCCTAAGCTGAGAATTTGACAGCCAAATGACTATAATTAACTACGAAAAGGTCAACTAGAAAAAACAAGGCACATACTTAAGCAGACTCTTGTTAAGCTTGTCTTGTGGTCTGTTTTGTGATCTATTTTCATATGAACTGAAACAGGTCTAACTTTCAAAAGGAAGAAAGGTAAAATATGAGTGACCATATTTTGTCTATTCATATTCATTTTAAAAATATGGCTTAACTGTTATTCCCAGAATCGTAGTTCAAATTTCATTAAAGTAGTTTAAAAGGGAAAGAGGAGGAGAAAGACAGCAAGGAGAAAGAGAATGCATACTACATATAAATCGCACTTTGAAAATTCCAAGGTCCCTCGTAAAATTATGAAGAAGTGAAATTGAGCAAGTATAGTGCATTCCTCCCGGTATTGCATTTCCAGAAGTATGTTGTATAGTCCTAACAGCTTTATACAAGAGATTTGGCTTGTTGATATCTTGTATTCAGTCTCTATTTTTAGTTGTGTATTTATGTATTTATTTTTATTGTCTATATTTAAGGTGTTCAACGTGATGTTTTTGTACACCTCTGCGTAGTAAAAAGATCACTACAGTCAGACAAAAACATTAACCTACCCATCACATACCATAGCTACCATTTTTTAAATAGTAAGAGCGCTTAAAATCTACTCTCTTAGTAAACTTTTTGTATACTATACAATAATATTAACTATAGACCTCATGCTGTACATCATTATAACTCTAGACCTATTCATCCTACATAGCTGCAACTTTTTACTCTGTGACCAATTTCTCCCCATTTTTTTCCTCTCCTTACGCCTGATAACCACTGTTCTACTGTTTATTTCTATGTATTTAACTAAGTTTTAGATATTAAATATCATTGAGATCATGCAGTATTTTTCTTTCTATGTTTGGCTTATTTCACTTAGGATAATGTCCTCTAGACTCATCTCTGTTATTACAAATGGTAGTTTATCCTTTTTTAAAGCTGAATAATATTATGGGATATCAAGAAGTCCCAAATTATTTATAGCACAAAAATATGGTTTATGTTGGCAATAGCTGGCAGGAAGCTCCCTGGTTTTGAATTTAATATAGGCAAATATGCACTAATCGGAAAACTGTAGTCTTTAATGGTGACAAGTCATACTCTTTCAAAGTTTACATTTTATCATCAAACTTACATTATTTTAGCTGCTTATAAGAACTACTGTGAGCTATGATTAATTTGCTTTCAATTTTTACATTTTCTGTATTTATTATTTTTTGTGCTAATTGGCTCTGAGCCTCTGGGTACAATTTGAAGAATTAGAAACTACATTTCTACAATAAAGTAATGAGCCACTTAAACTTTGATGTAACCCACATTATATTAGGAGACAATATTTTTATATCAGTGGCTGTGACAAACAAGTGGCTGTAATTCAATTAGTTTGAATTTGCATTTTCCAGCATAACAACCTTTATTATGATATTATCTTCACATCTGAGTAGCTAGATATGAAGTATTCAAATAAATTTCTATGCACATTTTTATGTCACATAATCATTTTATTTTGTTCTCTCTCACAATTTTTCATAGTAAAACATGTTTGCTTTGGAGAAAGCTGTATTTTTTGTGCATTACTGAGCTGAAGTAAAACTATCATTATGTCATTGATTAGAAATTGAGGTAGCAAAATTCTCCCCCAGCTGGGTGCACAATTGTGGGAAAGTGTGTTTCAGATCCATCTCTGTGTACAAAAAGGAATGGAATGTACTTTGTCGAGATCATTAGTGCTGACTACACATATGTGAAAATTCAGAAGAGATAGGTGCTTGATGACAAATAGAACTTATGAAACAAGCATTAGTGGGACTAATTTTTATAGATAATTGGAACAAAATTTCCTAAACTTTTTCTTTCTGTTCCTTATGATAATCTCTTCTTTCATTTTCCAACAAGCCTGCTGTGCATTTCTTAAATTTATCTACCACATAACTGAGTGACAGTTTAAAACTGAGATAAAGCTTGAGAATATGCAAACATCTTTATAAAACATACTTGAGAGCCCGTTATTATTTTTTTATTTTTTATTTTTTATTTTTTATTTTTTTTTATTATACTCTAAGTTTTAGGGTACATGTGCACATTGTGCAGGTTAGTTACATATGTATACATGTGCCATGCTGGTGCGCTGCACCCACTAATGTGTCATCTAGCATTAGGTATATCTCCCAATGCTATCCCTCCCCACTCCCCCGACCCCACCACAGTCCCCAGAGTGTGATATTCCCCTTCCTGTGTCCATGTGATCTCATTGTTCAATTCCCAGCTATGAGTGAGAATATGCGGTGTTTGGTTTTTTGTTCTTGCGATAGTTTACTGAGAATGATGGTTTCCAATTTCATCCATGTCCCTACAAAGGATATGAACTCATCATTTTTTATGGCTGCATAGTATTCCATGGTGTATATGTGCCACATTTTCTTAATCCAGTCTATCATTGTTGGACATTTGAGTTGGTTCCAAGTCTTTGCTATTGTGAATAGTGCCGCAATAAACATACGTGTGCATGTGTCTTTATAGCAGCATGATTTATACTCATTTGGGTATATACCCAGTAATGGGATGGCTGGGTCAAATGGTATTTCTAGTTCTAGATCCCTGAGGAATCGCCACACTGATTTCCACAATGGTTGAACTAGTTTACAGTCCCACCAACAGTGTAAAAGTGTTCCTATTTCTCCGCATCCTCTCCAGCACCTGTTGTTTCCTGACTTTTTAATGATTGCCATTCTAACTGGTGTGAGATGATATCTCATAGTGGTTTTGATTTGCATTTCTCTGATGGCCAGTGATGATGAGCATTTCTTCATGTGTTTTTTGGCTGCATAAATGTCTTCTTTTGAGAAGTGTCTGTTCATGTCCTTCGCCCACTTTTTGATGGGGTTGTTTGTTTTTTTCTTGTAAATTTGTTTGAGTTCATTGTAGATTCTGGATATTAGCCCTTTGTCAGATGAGTAGGTTGCGAAAATTTTCTCCCATGTTGTAGGTTGCCTGTTCACTCTGATGGTAGTTTCTTTTGCTGTGCAGAAGCTCTTTAGTTTAATTAGATCCCATTTGTCAATTTTGGCTTTTGTTGCCATTGCTTTTGGTGTTTTTGACATGAAGTCCTTGCCCACGCCTATGTCCTGAATGGTAATGCCTAGGTTTTCTTCTAGGGTTTTTATGGTTTTAGGTCTAACGTTTAAATCTTTAATCCATCTTGAATTGATTTTTGTATAAGGTGTAAGGAAGGGATCCAGTTTCAGCCTTCTACATATGGCTAGCCAGTTTTCCCAGCACCATTTATTAAATAGGGAATCCTTTCCCCATTGCTTGTTTTTCTCAGGTTTGTCAAAGATCAGATAGTTGTAGATATGCGGCATTATTTCTGAGGGCTCTGTTCTGTTCCATTGATCTATATCTCTGTTTTGGTACCAGTACCATGCTGTTTTGGTTACTGTAGCCTTGTAGTATAGTTTGAAGTCAGGTAGTGTGATGCCTCCAGCTTTGTTCTTTTGGCTTAGGATTGACTTGGCGATGCGGGCTCTTTTTTGGTTCCACATGAACTTTAAAGTAGTTTTTTCCAATTCTGTGAAGAAAGTCATTGGTAGCTTGATGGGGATGGCATTGAATCTGTAAATTACCTTGGGCAGTATGGCCATTTTCACGATATTGATTCTTCCTACCCATGAGCATGGAATGTTCTTCCATTTGTTTGTGTCCTCTTTTATTTCCTTGAGCAGTGGTTTGTAGTTCTCCTTGAAGAGGTCCTTCACATCCCTTGTAAGTTGGATTCCTAGGTATTTTATTCTCTTTGAAGCAATTGTGAATGGGAGTTCACCCATGATTTGGCTCTCTGTTTGTCTATTGTTGGTGTATAAGAATGCTTGTGATTTTTGTACATTGATTTTGTATCCTGAGACTTTGCTGAAGTTGCTTATCAGCTTAAGGAGATTTTGGGCTGAGACGATGGGGTTTTCTAGACAAACAATCATGTCGTCTGCAAACAGGGACAATTTGACTTCCTCTTTTCCTAATTGAATACCCTTTATTTCCTTCTCCTGCCTGATTGCCCTGGCCAGAACTTCCAACACTATGTTGAATAGGAGCGGTGAGAGAGGGCATCCCTGTCTTGTGCCAGTTTTCAAAGGGAATGCTTCCAGTTTTTGCCCATTCAGTATGATATTGGCTGTGGGTTTGTCATAGATAGCTCTTATTATTTTGAAATACGTCCCATCAATACCTAATTTATTGAGAGTTTTTAGCATGAAGGGTTGTTGAATTTTGTCAAAGGCTTTTTCTGCATCTATTGAGATAATCATGTGGTTTTTGTCTTTGGCTCTGTTTATATGCTGGATTACATTTATTGATTTGCGTATATTGAACCAGCCTTGCATCCCAGGGATGAAGCCCACTTGATCATGGTGGATAAGCTTTTTGATGTGCTGCTGGATTCGGTTTGCCAGTATTTTAGTGAGGATTTTTGCATCAATGTTCATCAAGGATATTGGTCTGAAATTCTCTTTTTTGGTTGTGTCTCTGCCCAGCTTTGGTATCAGAATGATGCTGGCCTCATAAAATGAGTTAGGGAGGATTCCCTCTTTTTCTATTGATTGGAATAGTTTCAGAAGGAATGGTACCAGTTCCTCCTTGTACCTCTGGTAGAATTCGGCTGTGAATCCATCTGGTCCTGGACTCTTTTTGGTTGGTAAACTATTGATTATTGCCACAATTTCAGAGCCTGTTATTGGTCTATTCAGAGATTCAACTTCTTCCTGGTTTAGTCTTGGGAGAGTGTATGTGTCGAGGAATGTATCCATTTCTTCTAGATTTTCTAGTTTATTTGCGTAGAGGTGTTTGTAGTATTCTCTGATGGTAGTTTGTATTTCTGTGGGATCGGTGGTGATATCCCCTTTATCAATTTTTATTGTGTCTATTTGATTCTTCTCTCTTTTTTTCTTTATTAGTCTTGCTAGCGGTCTATCAATTTTGTTGATCCTTTCAAAAAACCAGCTCCTGGATTCATTGATTTTTTGAAGGGTTTTTTGTGTCTCTATTTCCTTCAGTTCTGCTCTGATTTTAGTTATTTCTTGCCTTCTGCTAGCTTTTGAATGTGTTTGCTCTTGCTTTTCTAGTTCTTTTAATTGTGATGTTAGGGTGTCAATTTTGGATCTTTCCTGCTTTCTCTTGTAGGCATTTAGTGCTATAAATTTCCCTCTACACACTGCTTTGAATGCGTCCCAGAGATTCTGGTATGTGGTGTCATTGTTCTCGTTGGTTTCAAAGAACATCTTTATTTCTGCCTTCATTTCGTTATGTACCCAGTAGTCATTCAGGAGCAGGTTGTTCAGTTTCCATGTAGTTGAGTGGCTTTGAGTGAGATTCTTAATCCTGAGTTCTAGTTTGATTGCACTGTGGTCTGAGAGATAGTTTGTTATAATTTCTGTTCTTTTACATTTGCTGAGGAGAGCTTTACTTCCCACTCTGTGGTCAATTTTGGAATAGGTGTGGTGTGGTGCTGAAAAAAATGTATATTCTGTTGATTTGGGGTGGAGAGTTCTGTAGATGTCTATTAGGTCTGCTTGGTGCAGAGCTGAGTTCAATTCCTGGGTATCCTTGTTGACTTTCTGTCTCGTTGATCTGTCTAATGTTGACAGTGGGGTGTTAAAGTCTCCCATTATTAATGTGTGGGAGTCTAAGTCTCTTTGTAGGTCACTGAGGACTTGCTTTATGAATCTGGGTGCTCCTGTATTGGGTGCATAAATATTTAGGATAGTTAGCTCCTCTTGTTGAATTGATCCCTTTACCATTATGTAATGGCCTTCTTTGTCTCTTTTGATCTTTGTTGGTTTGAAGTCTGTTTTATCAGAGACTAGGATTGCAACCCCTGCCTTTTTTTGTTTTCCATTTGCTTGGTAGATCTTCCTCCATCCTTTTATTTTGAGCCTATGTGTGTCTCTGCACGTGAGATGGGTTTCCTGAATACAGCACACTGATGGGTCTTGACTCTTTATCCAACTTGCTAGTCTGTGTCTTTTAATTGCAGAATTTAGTCCATTTATATTTAAAGTTAATATTGTTATGTGTGAATTTGATCCTGTCATTATGATGTTAGCTGGTGATTTTGCTCATTAGTTGATGCAGTTTCTTCCTATTCTCGATGGTCTTTACATTTTGGCATGATTTTGCAGCGGCTGGTACCGGTTGTTCCTTTCCATGTTTAGCGCTTCCTTCAGGAGCTCTTTTAGGGCAGGCCTGGTGGTGACAAAATCTCTCAGCATTTGCTTGTCTATAAAGTATTTTATTTCTCCTTCACTTATGAAGCTTAGTTTGGCTGGATATGAAATTCTGGGTTGAAAATTCTTTTCTTTAAGAATGTTGAATATTGGCCCCCACTCTCTTCTGGCTTGTAGGGTTTCTGCCGAGAGATCCGCTGTTAGTCTGATGGGCTTTCCTTTGAGGGTAACCCGACCTTTCTCTCTGGCTGCCCTTAACATTTTTTCCTTCATTTCAACTTTGGTGAATCTGACAATTATGTGTCTTGGAGTTGCTCTTCTCGAGGAGTATCTTTGTGGCGTTCTCTGTATTTCCTGAATCTGAACGTTGGCCTGCCTTGCTAGATTGGGGAAGTTCTCCTGGATAATATCCTGCAGAGTGTTTTCCAACTTGGTTCCATTCTCCACATCACTTTCAGGTACACCAATCAGACGTAGATTTGGTCTTTTCACATAGTCCCATATTTCTTGGAGGCTTTGCTCATTTCTTTTTATTCTTTTTTCTCTAAACTTCCCTTCTCGCTTCATTTCATTCATTTCATCTTCCATTGCTGATACCCTTTCTTCCAGTTGATCGCATCGGCTCCTGAGGCTTCTGCATTCTTCACGTAGTTCTCGAACCTTGGTTTTCAGCTCCATCAGCTCCTTTAAGCACTTCTCTGTATTGGTTATTCTAGTTATACATTCTTCTAAATTTTTTTCAAAGTTTTCAACTTCTTTGCCTTTGGTTTGAATGTCCTCCCGTAGCTCAGAGTAATTTGATCGTCTGAAGCCTTCTTCTCTCAGCTCGTCAAAATCATTCTCCATCCAGATTTGTTCTGTTGCTGGTGAGGAACTGCGTTCCTTTGGAGGAGGAGAGGTGCTCTGCGTTTTAGAGTTTCCAGTTTTTCTGTTCTGTTTTTTCCCCATCTTTGTGGTTTTATCTACTTTTGGTCTTTGATGATGGTGATGTACAGATGGGTTTTCGGTGTAGATGTCCTTTCTGGTTGTTAGTTTTCCTTCTAACAGACAGGACCCTCAGCTGCAGGTCTGTTGGAATACCCTGCCGTGTGAGGTGTCAGTGTGCCCCTGCTGGGGGGTGCCTCCCAGTTAGGCTGCTCGGGGGTCAGGGGTCAGGGACCCACTTGAGGAGGCAGTCTGCCCGTTCTCAGATCTCCAGCTGCGTGCTGGGAGAACCACTGCTCTCTTCAAAGCTGTCAGACAGGGACACTTAAGTCTGCAGAGGTTACTGCTGTCTTTTTGTTTGTCTGTGCCCTGCCCCCAGAGGTGGAGCCTACAGAGGCAGGCAGCCTCCTTGAGCTGTGGTGGGCTCCACCCAGTTCGAGCTTCCCGGCTGCTTTGTTTACCTAAGCAAGCCTGGGCAATGGCGGGCGCCCCTCCCCCAGCCTCATTGCCGCCTTGCAGTTTGATCTCAGACTGCTGTGCTAGCAATCAGCGAGATTCCGTGGGCGTAGGACCCTCTGAGCCAGGTGTGGGATATAGTCTCGTGGTGCGCCGTTTCTTAAGCCGGTCTGAAAAGCGCAATATTCGGGTGGGAGTGACCCGATTTTCCAGGTGCGTCCGTCACCCCTTTCTTTGACTCGGAAAGGGAACTCCCTGACCCCTTGCGCTTCCCAGGTGAGGCAATGCCTCGCCCTGCTTCGGCTCGCGCACGGTGCGCACACACACTGGCCTGCGCCCACTGTCTGGCACTCCCTAGTGAGATGAACCCGGTACCTCAGATGGAAATGCAGAAATCACCCGTCTTCTGCGTCGCTCACGCTGGGAGCTGTAGACCGGAGCTGTTCCTATTCGGCCATCTTGGCTCCTCCTCCTAGCGAGAGCCCGTTATTTAATGTTGAATATTGTATGATTTTTCTAAATGTGAGCAAATAATATAATTATAATGTTTTCTTTTTTCAAACTCTGAATTATGTAAAACAAACATATATTTTGTAAGTATCTATTTAAAACACAGCTATATGGATGCACATTGCATATACTAAAAGGTCATAAATACAGATCACACTGTATGAGACTACAGTAAAGTTCAGTGAGATAATTTACTTTTACTGCAATGGTAATTTTTTTTTTTAAATTGTAAAGTTTCATTTTAGTAAGAACTTCAAAGCAAGATGAATAAGCCCTAGAGATCTGCTGTACATTGTGTCTATAGTCAACAATACCATATTGGACACATAAAATTTAAGAAGGTAGATCTCATGTTGAGTTCTCTGACTACAATAAAGTACAATTTTCTTAAAAGTTGTTATCAGTAAGTTATAGCATTGGAATTCTAATGTAATGAACAGGGCAGTTCATACATCTTTTTTTTTTTTGGTCTCCTTAGAAGTCAATAAGGTAGTAATGTGTTCATTTCTAGGTCAAAACCCATTTTTAGGAATAAAGTTATGAGAAGCTTTCATTCAAGACTTAGACTCTGAAGAACGCAGAAACGAGAGAACTTCAGTAGTAAAACTTACATAATGTTTGCCCCCTTAACTTTTTTTTTTTTTTTTGAGATGGAGTCTCACTCTGTCACCCAGGCTGGAGTGCAATGGCATGATCTCGGCTCACTGCAACTTCCTCCTCTCAGGTTCAAGCAATTCTCCTGTCTCAGCCTCCTGAGTAGCTGGGATTACAGGTGCACACCACCATGCCAGGCTAATTTTTTGTATTTTAGTAGTGACGGGGTTTCACCGTGTTGCCCAGGCTGGTCTCGAACTCCTGAGCTCAGGCAATCCAACCACCTCGGCCTCCCAAAGTGCTAGGATTACAGGTGTGAACCACCACACCCGGCTGCTCCCTTAATTTTTATATCCCTCTCTTGCCAACAGGTTTTTTTTTTAAGGTTATTTTCTTTCCCTTCACAAGGCTATGTGATGTAATGCAAAGGAAAATGAGAAGCATCTGCTGAAGAGTTAAACACCCATACCAAAAGAACCATTTCGCTATTTTGCATATTATCTATTCTAAAGGTAGTTAAGAGATCCTCACCCTGAACTCAAAGGCAATTCAAAAATTTCCTTAAACAAAATCAGAGTGCAATTATTGGACATGAAATAGTAAAGAGGTATAAGTTGTTTAGAACATTTTATTTTAAAATAACATGAAAGTCATGCATATATGGTCAGTCCTAAGTCCTTTTCATGTTATTTGTGATTCAAGAGATATATTTTGTCCTGGCCTCTCAATAGGATGTCAGTGCACTTTTGTCTTCTCTGCATGAACTGCCAAGCAGTTTAACAGATCAGAACATCTAGCCCCTGTTAGGAGTATTAAATATCACTGTCAGTTTATTCTATGAAAAATGAAGTGTATGTCAGCGGGGCTGTCATGCTATATGTACAAACAGTTGACCTTCCACTTTGTTTCAGGAATGAGGCTGATATTTGATTTTCTTTTTTTTTAATCAGCCTTGTTTTTGCCAGTGGATTTTTTAGGCCGGCACCACTGTAATCCATTATTTCTCACTAACAATACTGAATTTACATAAAACATTCAAGAAAATGCATTGATCTACAGCTATGTCCTCTTTTTGAAATAAGGCAATAAGGCATCAGGGGCTGAATAGTTGTGAAAGCTCTTTGACCTGAAGTATCAGTAAATGCATAAGATTTATGAATAGTTCACCAGTATTTGTCAGCACAACAGAACATAAACATTTGTATTGCTGGGTGCTCATTTTACAGTTGTTTATAGAGACTACAGGGTGCCATTCTACTGTCGACGACTCTGCGCTAGATACAAAAGTATCACTACATTGGGATTGTATTTTCCTATAGCCAAGTAAATTCATGTGATAAGATGTAAACTGAGGCTCAAAGATATTAGGAAACTTGGTTGTAGTCATACAGTTTTACATGGAAGAATTGATATTTAAACCCTGATTTGCCATACCCAAGAGTTCTTTCCTCTGTATGGCATACCAGATTTTTAATAGTGAGGTTCCTTGAATATTTACATAAAATATTTATATACTGATACAATCCTTTATTTACTATTCTCTTTCATCAACTCAAGCGAATTGCTTAGCATAATAAAACCTCCATAAATCTGCATACCATCTCTTTCCATACTGATTTCTCCAGTTGCCCCTCAATCCCAATGCTTTAAACAATCCAGATAATCTTAGGTTCACTTAATGATTCATGCGGCTTCATGTGCCTGCTTATATGCTATTCTGTTTGAATGTCCACTTTGAAAACACTTCTCATCTTTCAACACACAGTCGCAGTCAATTTTTTTTTGTAATGCTTTCCATTTCTCCTCCTTGAGGTAGAATTGAGCACTCTCTCCTCTGTGACATCACTATACCCTATATGGACTGCTGTCATACCAGCTAAGATAAATTTATTATGTATTTTAACGAGTTTATTGAGAAATAACTGACAAATTACAAATTGTCCATATGTAAAGTATGCAATTCGGCATATCAGTAAACATTCGAAATTATCACCACTGTATTATTCCATTTTCATGCTGCTGATAAAGATATACCCGAGACTGGGAATAAAAAGAGGTTTAATTAGACTTTCAGTTTCACATGGCTGAGGAGGCCTCAGAATCATGGTGGAAGGCAAAAGGCACTTCTTACATGGCAGCAGCAAGAAAAAATGAGGAAGATGCAAACGCGGAAACCCTTGATAAAGCCATCAGATCTCGTGAGACTTACTCACTACCACAAGAGCGGCATGGGGGAAACTGCCCACATGATTCAAATTATCTTCCACCGAGTCCCTCCCACAACACATGGAAATTATGGGAATACAATTCAAAATGAGATTTGTGTGGGGAGACAGAACCAAATCATATCAACCACGATCAAAATACTGAACATATTTATTATTCCTAGAATTTTTTTCATTTTCCCAGTACCTACTGCATTGACTACCATTTTAGATTTTATCAGTTAATTGGTAAATATGTATTGACTGAAATAACTTTCTTTGGCAATATAATTCTGTAGTATATATAAAGTAGGGGTTCATTGTCTATGATATAGATGAGATTGGTTTTAATGCTTGAAAACATGCAATTTATATGAGAATCTTTAAAAATTAGGAAGTATAAGAGACAAAATATCAATTTCTTTCTCCTACATTTAAGAACAGGTAGTCTCTTCAAAATCCCAGAAGTTGAGCCTTAGCTGAGGTTTAGTGTTTTCTAAACAGGCTTAAAATGGAAGTTGTTTAATTATATAATAATTATGCAAGGAAAAATGTGGTGATGAAGATTAAACAACTCTTTTATATAGGCCATCTAGGAATTAATCATTGGAGGAAAAGTAACTCTTAGGTTTTAGAGCATCAATTAGTAAACTACAGGTGTATCATTCCTAGCAGCTAGTAAATAGGTGAAGGTGGTTGCACAAGCCTTTTTTCAGAGATGTATATTCTTTGACTTTGGGACTACTATTAAATATGCCCACACAGAAAGCATTCCATGAGGACGACAATGGATTATGGAATATGGCAAAACCAAAATTATGTTAATGTAGAAACCAAAGTAATTCCACCTTTCTGGGGACAAGCCCAGATATGTAAACATACTGCTTATCTAGCTACATTTATCTTTCACTATGAGTCCCTAAAATGTTATACCGCAGGTATGTTAAGTAACTAACTTCTAAGAATGCACTATAAACTCTTCTTACATGCCTTTGCAGTACCCTCACCTAGAATGCTTTTCCACCCATTCCCATATCCCTTTGCCTAGTTAGTTCTCAGTCATTAGCTCTAATTTTGAAGTTGACTCCTCTAAGAAGACATATTTGGCCAAATTACTTGAGACTCTTACCTTTGTGTTCCATAGCACTCTGAGATATTTGTGTTAAAGAAAAGCAGATTTGGGCAATAGTTAAAGTGGTAAAGCAGATTTTATTCAGGAACTATTGTAGATGGAGAAAAGAGGCTTCAGTATGGCACTTGAGCTCAGTTTCAAATACAGCAAGGGCAAGTGGAGATTTATAGCCAAGGAGGAAGTTGTTGGGTGAAGCTTGGTGGATGGAAAAATTACTAAGTGTAGGGGAAATTCTGCCTAAATTGACCTAACAGTATTCTTGTGGAATCTTTCAGGTCAGGTGATATGGAAGGTAAGAGATTCTGACTAAAACTGGGCTAAGCAGTTCTTAAGACAAGGCTGAAGAACAAGGCCTAATCAAGAAAGGTCTTAAAGGAGCCTGACCAAAGTTTGGTCAATGAGAGACTCTTTGTTTCTATCATAACATTCATCACACTGTACTGAAATAACTTTGTAAGAATTTTTTTTTTACATATACCCCACTAGACTGGAAGCTTCAGGAGGGTAGATTATTCTTTATTCAATATTGTATTCCTCACAAATAGCAACATGCTTGGCACATGCAATCAATGTTTGTTGAATTGAAATTAACTTTTAAAGTACAGAGTATAAGATAAATGTAAGTGACTATTTTTAAAATATATAGCTTTAGTGGTTGATATTCATTAGGAATTAGATACCAGCATTCTACAATCAAATGATAAATCCTTTGAAGTATAAACTTCTGATTGATGTGTTTATATATATTTAGTAATTATGAAAATGGAAACTAGTTATTTTCTGATCTATCACTGAAACTTTTCTTAATAGTATGGCTTTGTTTCAAATAACCATTACAATAGAGAATGATCTTGTTTACATTAGAAACAAGGCTAATATAGGACTAAACAGCTGTCTTAAATTATTTGTAATCAAAATTTTGTCTGATATGCTGTCGTAAATGTTGCTATGCCCTTATTTGTTTCATGCAGATATTGATCATTTAAGAATAATATCTGCATGATGACAAAATGCCTGCTTAATTTGTTAAGTGAGAGAAAAGTCAAACTTTTTGATGAACAGTTTATTAACTTTTTGCAATTATTTATTTATTGTTTTGTTATTTGGTAAAGACACACTCTCTGTTGGCTTAAACTGTAAACTATAGCAAGGATTTGCATACACTTTAATGGGAATTCTATAATTTGACCGTTATTTCAGATATCCACAATTAATCATACCCTGTGACTTTTCCTTTTCTCTCTTTTAAAGTGATTTTATGAATGTATGCTCCTTAAAAGAGGTAGTTTTGCTTGTCTTTAGTTGAGTAACATTAGTCCAGCAACAAAATTAGCAAAAGTATAATGGTAACTTGCAAAGTTTCTATAACAACGATGCTATCCTATTGGGACCACATGGTATCACATATGTTATGCCAGATTACTCACTCTTAACAGACACCTGTGGTTCATTAACAAAATGTGCTGGAGTATCCCTAATTATACAAACAATTGATAGTTTAAAATAATTTTGCTACATTTTTATAATAGGGGCTTCTTTTCCTTAAATATTCTGCTGCCCAGTTTCTTAAAACTAAAAAAAAATCATGACAAAAGAATGAAACTTTAAGTCAGGTTATTATATTGGCCATATAGTTAATTTTACTATATATTAGTAACTAACATATAGCTTTAAGTTGACTTAACCTACCTTTAAATCAATACAATAATGTAGCAATTATGAGGCTGTTGCAAACTATAAATGTATTGCATACTTCTACAATATGTAGCACTTAAAACTCATAAAATGTTTAAAAGCAAAGATCACACTCATACATAAAATACAACTCCACAATAAGAAATAAAAAATATAACATGAAGTAGTGATTGTAAAATACCCAATGAAAGATAAATCCCTTAACTTGAATAGCAGCCTATTTGTTGTTTCATTCATATTGTCATCAACAGTATATTATAATATTATAATATTATAATATCTATTATAACAAAACTTGAAATATCTTGAGTATATTCTTAGATAACTTGAGCGGCTGCAGATCAGCATAATATTTCCAGCTGATTATTTAAAAGCGTCCTAAAAAGAAATCCGCAGACAGTTTTATTTGTTTACCACCTTGAAAATTCTTCCTAAATCTATTAAATATCAACTAATATTCATTGTAGTTCTTTTCATATTAAAGTCAAAATCATTTCAATAAACTGAACAACTTTTTGAAAATCAGAATATAGAAGTTCTGTGATGTTTGTCTCAGTAACTATGACCATTTACCTATAGGAAAAATTTACTCATCAATATGATATCTAAGTTAATTTAGATTTATGTTTCTTTATGTAAATAAATATAAAATGATTGAATATCTGATTCTATATTAATATAATTTTTCACTTGTAGTAATTTTTGCCTAGATAAAGGTGGTGGATTAAAAAAATAGGAAGACTAAAATAGATGGAAGTGCCTCTCCTCATCTGGAGTTTGAAAAAAAAAAAAACAAAAAAACAGTGGATAGTTACTACCATCACCTTTAATAAAGGACTTTAGAAATACCTTCCTGACTGGGTACGGTGGCTCATGCCTGTAATCTTAGCATGGTGGGAGGCCGAGGCAGTCAGATTGCTTGAGCCCAGGAGTTCAAAACCAGGCTGGGCATCATAGTAAAACCCTGTCTCTACAAAAAAAAAAAAAAAAAAAAAGGTATCCTAGTGTGGTGGTATGTGACTATAGTCCCAACTACTCACAAGGCTAAGGTGGGACGACCACTTGAGCCTGGGAGGTCGAGGCTGCAGTGAGCCATGATTATGCCAGTGCACTCCAGCCTGGGTGACTTAAAGAGATGATGTCTCATAAAAAAAGAAAGAATGAATGAAAGAAAGAAAGAAGAAAGAAAGAAAGAAAGAGAGAGACCTTTACCTCCAAAAGGAAGGCAAGAAGTAATTACAATTTTTCTCTGGCATTTCTAATGCTAGTTCTGGTCACTGTACTGTAAATATGTATTTTTTTTTTCAATTCCAAATCCAGCTCTTCACTATATTTGCTGTGTAACACACATTTCTAGTGCAGATATTGTATTTTATAGGGGCTTATACAACTTTTCTTAAAATTGATACTAAGCTAAGACATTCTTTGACACACAGAATAAAATCAGACTTCCATTGCAATCAAGATGTAAAATGTTTTAAAGTTATTGCATTCTACTTTTTTCATATGACTGTTAAAACAATTTATCTTTTAAAAGATCATATTTCAGGGATCTGAATTCTATTGTAGATATCTCTACTTAACAGAGTTTAATTTGGTGAAAATATGACACGAAACTATAAAAATCAACTGATTTCTCCTACCTTTTTTACCCTTTCCACAACATCAATTTCTACACTTAATCTAGAAAGGTATAAAATATAATGGAGGAGTAAATATATTTCCAGTTGGTTTTCTTTTAGGAAACACAGCAAAACCCTTTGTTTAACATCAGGGATGATCTAAAAGGAAATCCTGTAAGTGTGAGAGGCAATGTCAGACACTTGTAATAACATATAAGTCTGAGAGATGGAGGGAAGATTTAAGCAGAAAACTGAAGAGTATGCAAGATTAAGACATCCACTCAAAAGCACACAGCTATTTGCTCCTGAATGACTCTTGGGTAAATAATGAAATTAAGTCAGAAATCAATAAGTTTTTTTAAAGTAATGAGAACAAAGAGACAACATACCAGAATCTCTGGGATGCAGCTAAAGCAGTGTTAAGAGGGAAATTTATAGCACTAAATCTCAACATCAAAAATCTAGAAAGATCTCAAGTTAACAACCTATCATCTCAACTGAAATAACTAGAGAATCAAGAGCAAGCAATCCCCAAAGCTAACAGAAGACAATAATTAACCAAGATCAGAGCATAACTGAAGGAGACAGAGATGTGAAAAACGCTTTTAAAAAAATCAACAAATCCAGGAGCTATTTTTTTGAAAAAAATAATAAAGTAGATAGACTACTATCTAGACTCATAAAGAAGAATAGAAAGAATAATCAAATGAACACAATCAGAAATGATAAGGGGGATATCACCACTGATCCCACAGAAATAAAAACAACTACCAGAAAATATTGTAAATCCCTCTATACACATAAACTAGAAAATCTAGAAGAAATGGATAAATTTGTGGACACATACACTCTCCCAAGACTGAAAGGAAGAAATTGAATCATTGACCAGACCAATAACATGTTCTAAAATTGAGGCAGTAATAAATAACCTACCTACTAAAAAATAAATCACAGGACCATACAGATTCACAGTGGAATTCTACCAGAAGTACAAAGAAGAGCTGGTTTCATTCCTACTAAAATTATTCTGAAAAACTGAAGAGGAGGGACTCCTCCCTAACTAATTCTCTGAGGCTAGCATTATCCTGATACCAAAACCTGGCAGAGATACAACAAAAGAAAGAATACTTTAGACCAATATCCTTGATGAACATCAATGCAGAAATCCTCAGTAAAATATTGGCAAACGAAAGCCAGCAGCACATCAAAAAGCTTATCCACCATGATCATGCTGGCTTCATCCCTGGGATTCAAGGCTGGCTCAACATACACGAGTCAATAAATGTAATTCATCACATAAACAGACAAAAACCACACGATCATTTCAATAAATGCAGAAAAGGCCTTCGATAAAATTCAACATCCTTTTATGTTTAAAACTCTAGATACATTAGGAATTGAAGGAACAGACCTCAAAATAATAAGAACCATATATGACAAACCCACAGCCAATATCATACTGAATGAGCAAAAGCTGGACACATTCCCCTTGAAAACTGGCACAAGGCAAGGATGCCCTGTCACCACTTCTATTCAACATATTATTGGAAGTTCTGGCCAGGGCAATCAGGCAAGAGAAAGAGATAAAGAGTATTCAAATAGGGAGTGAGGAAGTCAAATTATCTTTGTTTGCAGATGACATCATCCTATATCTAGAAAACCCCATAGTCTCAGCCCAAAAGCTTCTTAAGCTGATAAGCAACTTCAGCAAAGTCTCAAGATATAAAATCAATGTGCAAAAATCGCTAGCATCCTTATACACCAACAAAAGGCAAGCAGAGAGCAAAATCATGAATGAACTATCATTCATAATTGCTACAAAAAGAATAAAATACTTAGAAATACAGCTAACAAAGGAAGTGAGGGAACACTTCAAGGACAACTACAAACCACCGCTCAAGGAAATCAGAGAAGACACAAACAAATGGAAAAACATTCCAGGCTCATGGATAGGAAGAATCAATATTGTAAAAATGGCCATACCGTTCAAAGTAATTTATAGATTCAATGCTATTCCCATTAAACTACCATTGACATTCTTCACGGAATTAAAAAAAAAACTATTTTAAAATTCATATCGAACTAAAAATGAGCCCAAATAGCCAAGTTAATCCATAGCAAAAAGAACAAAGCAGGAGGCATCACACTACCTAACTTCAAACAGTGCTACAAGGCTGCATTAACCAAAACATCATGGTACAAGAACAGACACATAGACCAATGGAACAGAATAGAGAACTCAGAAATGAGACTGCACACATACAAGCATCAGATCTTTGACAAACCTGACAAAAACAAGCAATGGAAAAAGGATTCCCTATTTAATTAATAATGCTGGGAGAACTGGCTAACCATATGCACAAAATTATAACTGGACTCCTTCCTTACAACATATATAAAAGTTAAGATGGATTAGAGACTTAAATGTAAATCCCACAACTATAAAAAGCCTAGAAGAAGATCTAGGCAATACCATTCAGGGCATAGCAGAGGCAAAAATGTCATGATAAATCATCAAAAGCAATTGCAACAAAAGCAATAATTGACAAATGAGATCTAATTAAAGAGCTTCTGCACAGCAAAAACAAACAAACAAACAAACAAACAAACAAAAACTATCATCCGAGTGAACAGATAGCCTACAGAAAGGGAGAAAATTTCTTAATGTAGCCACCTGACAAAAGTCTAATATCTAGAATCTACAAGGAACTTAAATTTACAAGAAAAAAAACAAACACCTTCATAAAAAAATTGGCCAAAGGACATGAACAGACACTTCTCAAAAGAAGACATACATGTGGCCAATAAACATATGAAAAAAAGTTCAACATTACTGATCATTAGAGATCCTCAAATCAAAACCACAATGATATACCATCTCATACCAGTCAGAATGGCTATTACTAAAATGTCAAAAAACAACAGATGCTGGTGAGGTTGTGGAGAAAAAGGAACGCGTTTACACTGCCTGTGAGAGTATAAACTAGTTCAACCACTGTGGAAGTCAATGTGACAATTCCCAAAGACCTAGAGGCAGAAATACCATTTGACTCAGCAATCTCATGACTGGATATATACCTAAAGAAATATAAATCATTCTATTATAAAGTTACATGCATGCATATGTTCATTGAAGCACTATTTACAATAGCAAAGTCATAGAATCAACCTAAACGCCCATCAATGATAAACTAGATAAAGAAAATGTGGTACATATACCTCATTGCATACCATGCAGCCATAAAAAGGAACAGGATCTTGTGCTTTGCAGAGACATAGATGGAGTTGGAAGCCATTATCCTCAGCAAACTAACGCAGGAGTAGAAAACCAAACACAGCATGTTCTCACTTATAAGTGGGAGCTGAACAATGAGAACACGTGGACACATGGTGGGTAACAACACACACTGGGCACCTGTAGGGTTGGGGAAGAGCATCAGGAAGAACAGCTAATGGATGCCGGGCTTAATACCTGGGTGATGGGATAATCTGCGCAGTAAACCACGATGGCACATGTTTATTTATGTAACAATCCTGCACATGTACCCCTAAACTTAAAATAAAAGTCAAATTAAAAATAAGAAAATTGAAGAGTATGACCATGAGGTGGGATGAGGGAGAGTTCTGGGCACCCAGGTTCAGAACAGCTTTTCCACAGTTTCAGAGCTAAACCTTCATGGTGTCTCTGAATGTCTTCATTTGAATCAAATGCTCCAAATCAGCAAACACCCAAGATCAAAAAAAAAAAAAAAAAAGACTTCTTAAAAATGCATTCCAGAGCACAATATCTGTCTTCATATTATGAATGTTTTTAAAAACTTTTATTTTGAGTTCAGGGATGTATGTACAGATTTGTTATATAGATAAATTTTGTGTTGCAGGAGTATGGTGTACAGATTATTTCATGACTCACATAGTAAGCATAGTACCTGATAGTTTTTCGATCCTCACTCTTCTCTCACTCTCCTCCCTTAAGTAGGTCCTGGTGTCTATTGTTCCCTTCTTTGTGTCCATGCATCCTTAATATTTAGCTCTTACTTGTAAGTGAGAACATGTGGTATTTGGTTTCCTGTTCCTGCATTAGTTCACTTAGGATAATGACCTCTAGCTCCATTCATACTGCTGCAAAGGTCACAATCTCACTTGTTGTTATGGCTACATAGTATTGGATCATGTATATGTACCACATTTTCCTTATCCAGTCAACCATATATGTACCACATTTTCTTTATCCAGTCAACCATGGATGAACATTTAGGTTGATTCCATGTCTTGGTTATTGTAAATAGTGCTGTGATGAAAATATGTTTGCATATGTTTTTCTGGTAGGAGGATTTATATTCCTTTGTGTATATACCCAGTAATGGGATTGCTGGGTCAAATGGCAGTTTTCCTTTAAGTTCTTTGGGAAATCACCAAACTGCTTTTCACAGTGGCTGAATGAATTTACACTGCCATGAGCAGTGTATATGCATTCTCTTTTCTCTGCAGCCTTTCAAGCATCTGTTATTTTATGGTTTTTAATAATAGCCTTTTTCACTAATTGTGGTTTTGATTTGCAGTTCTCTAATGATTAGTAATGTTGAGCAATTTTTCATATGCTTGTTGGCCAAGTGTATGACTTATTTTGAAAAGTATCTGTTCATGTCCTTTGGCCACTTTTGAATGGGGAATGCTTTCAGCTTTTGCTCAATTAGTATGTTGTTTTTTTGTTTGTTAATTTGTTTAAGTTCCTTATACATTCTGGATATTAGGCCTTTGTTGGATGTATCATTTGAATAAATTTTCTCCCATTCTGCATGTTGTCTGTTTATTCTGCTGATAGTTGTTTTTTTTCTTTTTTCTTTTTTCTTTTTTTTTGTTTTTGTTTTTTTGCTGTGCAGATGCACTTTAGTTTAATTAAGTCACACTTGTCTTTTTTTTTTTTTTTTTTGGCAATTGCTTTCGGTGTCTTCATCATTAAATTTTTGCCAAGGCCTACGTCCTGAGTGGCATTTCTTAGGTTATCTTCCAGAGCTTTTGTAGTTTTAGGTTTTACATTTAAGCATTTAACGCAACTTGGGTTAATTTTTGTGTATGGTATAAGGAAGGGGTCCTGTTTCAATCTTCTGGATATGGCTATTCAATTATCTCAACACCTTCTATTGAATAGGGAGTCTTTCCTCATTGCTTGTTTTTGTCAACTTTGTTGAAGATCAGATGGCTATAAGTGTGTGGCTTTATTTCTGGGCTCTTTATTCTTTTCCATTAGTCTCTGTGTCTGTTTTTGTATCAGTACTATGCTGTTTTGATTATTATATCCTTGTAGTGTAGTTTGAAGTTGGATAATGTGATGCCTCCAGCTTTATTATTTTTGCCTAGGATTGCTTTAGTCATTTAGACTCTTTTTTGATTCCACATAAGTTTTAGAGCAGTTTTTTGTTTTCTAATTCTGTGAAATATGTCATTAGTTGTTTGATTGGAATAGCATTGAATGTGTAAATTGCTTTGGGCACTATGGAATGCTTTCTATGTGCTGTGTCATCTCTGATTTCATTCAGCAGTGTTTCTTAATTCTTGTTTTGGCGATCTTTCACCTCTGATTACCTGTATTCCTAGATATTTCATTCTTTTTGTGGTTATTGTGAATGTTATTGCATTCTTGATGTGGCTCTCAGCTTAGATCTTGCTGGTATATAGAAATGCTACTTATTTTTGTACACTGATTTTGTGTCCTGAAACTTTGCTGAAGATATTTACCAGATATGGGAACTTTTGGGCAGAGACTATGGGGCTTTCTAGGTATGGAATCATATGATCTGTGAACATAAATAGTTTGAATTAATGTTTGGATAAACATACATTCTTTTTTAACATTATCTTTTAAAAACATTATCCTCTTTTTTTATTTGGATACATTTTCTTTTCTTTTTTTTTTTTTTTTTTTTTTTTGCCTAATTGCTCTGGCTAGGACTTCCAGTACTGTGTTAAACGGGAGCAGTTAGAGTGAAGTTAGAGTGAGCATCCTTGTCTGGTTCTGGTTTTCAAGAGGAACACTTTTAGCTTTTGCTCAATTAGTATGATGTTGGCTGTGGGTTTGTCATAGATGGCTCTTATTATTTTTATGTAAGTTCCTTCAATGCCTAGTTTGTTGAGGATTTTTTAATATGAAGGGATGTTTAATTATATCAAGAGCCTTTTCTGCATCTATTCAGATGATCATGTCATTTTTGATGTTCTGTTTATATGATGAATCATATTTTTTATTTCCATATGTTGAAACAACTTTGCACCACAGGAATAAAGCCTACTTGATTGTGGTAAATTAGTTTTTGATGTGCTAATGGATTCAGTTTGCTAGTTTTTTTTTTTTTTTTTTTTTTGAGGATTTTTGTATCTAGGTTCATCAATTATACTTGCCTGAAATTTATTTTTTTGGTTGTGTTTCTGTCAGGCTTTGGTTCAGAATAATGCTAGTATCATTCTATAATTTTTTGGAATCATTTCAGAAGGAATGATACAAGCTCTTCTCTATACGTATGTTATAATTCATCTGTGAATCCACCTGGTCCTGGGATTTTTCTGTTTGTTAGGCTTTTCATTACTGATTCAACTTTAGAACTCCTTATTGGGCTTTTCATGTTGCAATTTATTCCTGGTTCAATCTTCAGAGGTTTTATGTTGCCAGGAATGTATCAATTTCGTCTAGATTTTCTATTTTCTGTGCATTCAGGTGTTCATAATAGTCTCTGAGGGTTTTTTGTATGTCTCTGTGTTGGTATTAAAGCCCCCTTTTTCATTTCTGACTGTGCTTATTTGTATCTTCCCTCTTTTTTTCTTTGAGTCTAGCTAGTAATCCTTCACACTTATTTGTTCTTTCAAAAAACAAACTTCTGAATTCATTGATCTTTTGTATGTTTTCATGTGTCTCAAATTCATTCAGTTCATCTCTGATTTTTTAGTTATCTTTTGTCCTCTGCTAGCTTTGGGGTTGGTTTGCTCTTGTTTTTCTAGTTCTCTAGGCGTGATATTATGTTGCTAATTTGAGCTGTTTCTAACTTCTTGGTGTGGGTGTTTAGGGCTATAAAAGTTCCTTTTAACATTGCTTTAATAGCTGTGTCCCAGAGATTCTGGTATATTTTATCTTTGTTCTCATCAGTTTCAAAGTGCTTCATCTTCCGGTTTATCCTTGCTACTGTCCTCTGTTGGGCTAGATTGGTGAGAGCTGACTCTATTTTGATTTTTTTTAAATAAGATGCAATATTTGGAAACTGACATTATATTCATTTATAATCAAAATATGCAGGACAAAGTTCAGCTAAATCATCTGGTTTTACGTTTGGATACTAAATATGTGATTGATACTGAAAGAAAAACTTATGTGGGAACTATTGTTTGATGCTGGCCTTGAAATGAACAGGAACAGGAAGCACTGCTTTGAGCTAGCATGCTCCTAAGAGAATGGGAATTCAAAGGAAACTAATAGGAAAATAAAATCCAAAAAAGAAACAAGAATATTAATATTGAACCACAGGAACATTTTTTTTTTAACAGAGTCCTCACTCTGTCATCCAGGCTGGAGTGCAGTGGCAGAGTCTTGGCTCACTGCAACCTCCACCTCTTGGGTTCAAGAGATTCTCCTGCCTCAGCCTCCCCAGTAGCTGGGATTACAGGTGCCCGCCACCATACATGACTAATTTTTTTGTATTTTTAGTAGAGACGGGGTTTCACCATGTTGACCAGGCTGGTCTCAAGCTCCTGGCCTCAAGTGATCTGCCGACCTCAGCCTCCCAAAATGCTGGGATTACAGGCGTGAGCCACCGCACCCAGTCAGATTAATTAAATTTTATCATTTATATGCATGAATAGAAAAAAGCATAGTATATATAGTGTTCAGTACTTTCTGCAGTTAAGATAGTAACTCTACTTTGTTTTTTTTTGGTTTTTTTTTTTTTTGAGACAGAATTTTGCTCTTGTAGCCCAGACTGGAAGGCAGTGGCATGATCTAGGCTCACTGCAACCTCTGCCTCCTGGGTTCAAGTGATTCTTTGCCTCAGTCTCCCAAGTGGCTGAGATTACAGGCACATGCCTCCACACCCAGATAGCTTTTGTATTTTTAGTAGAGACGGGGTTTCACCATGTTGGCCAGGATGGTCTCGTGATCCACCCTCCTCGGCCTCCCAAAGTGCTGAATTACAGGCGTGAGCCACTGTGCCTGGCCAAACCACAGGACCTTCTTTAATACTAACACATTTCAGCCCTTTCAAAGTTTATAATGCTTTATTGATATTTTAAAAATGATATAAAGCTAAGACTTAAATAAACCCATTATTATAAATCAATATAAAAATAAATAGAATATGGTAAAATTAAAAATAGCACTTGGGACAGAAATACACCCACAATTTTAAGGTAATATGCCTGAAAATAATTTTGTATATAAAAAATTTTGAAACAATATATTTCTAAATTGCCTGAAGCACATGCAATTTTCTTATTTAATATTAAGATCATAAAAATTAATTTTAAAAGCTTTATTTCCTGCCTCAATGGATTATTCATCATTTGAAAAGTGAAGAGTTTTGCCCACATGAGACGTTGACCATTTATTCATATTGGCTATGAAAACAAAAGGTCTGGTATTAGCCACTGCTCTGCAATTATGATTGTTAAGCAAAAATTAATGTTTATATTGGGAAAAATACTTTACAGCCACCTATTTTTATTCACTCTCATAGCAATTTCCCAGGGAAACAAGACATCTCAAAATTAAAGCAGCAACAAGGAAATTGTTTATGAAGGTGAAGATGAGGAAAGCAAAAGTGACAGCAGTTACAGAAAGCAGCAGTTGCTCTTGAAGTTAAGCTGCTCTGTCACATACCATCAATTGGACCATTATCCAGTGCAGGAAGTCTGTAATAAATTGTAAGATTTGCTTCTCAGCTCAAATGATGGGATGGAAATTTTCACTGTAGATGATGTTGAAGTGGAGGTACAGCTGAATGGGTATACCAGATTGGCCCATGTTTTAAATCCTACAATGATTGACACTCTGGCACTAGACATATAATTTCTTCAAATAAATTGTAACTCAAGAATCTGGTTATCCTGATTATTTAAGGATAAAAACATCACATAAAAAGTTTTAATAGTGACAAGAAATATTTACTTTTCTGAGACATGTTCTTATAATTCTGCAAAATGATTTCTGTTTCAGATTCTCATCTTCTTTGAGATAAGTATTATTTAAAAGCAATCTGAGTTTCTTACTGATAACACCTTCCCTGTTATTTATTATAAGAGCTAATATTGTCTCAGTAATATTTTGCCTACTTGTTTGTTCTGCATTTTAAGAAGGGCAACATGACATATGTGGGGAAACGTGAGGATAAGAGTTAGGTGATCTGGTTTGTTGTCTAGATTCTGATTTACAGGTGATGCTTCATAGCAGTTACTTTGCATCCTTTCCTCTGGGCAAATAATTGTTCAGCTAGCCAAAAATCAGGTTCATAAAAGCTTCTCTGTGCAACTTATAAAATTATCGGTATAAAGGAACAACTTATTCTTGAGATAGCTTGTTAATTTTCCTTAGTCATATGCTCACTGGAGCCTTAATATCTTTTCCTTTTTCTGAGACTAATATTGAAATATGCCCACATTTATAATAAACAATTAGAGTGAGAATCTAGCTTGAAAATTATAGAATATTTAATAATGTAACAATATGTTGTCCATCTTGACATTTTAATTTGGAAGGTTATAATGGTCAGGCTTGTGTGAAAACAAACCTGTAGTATACAATTTCAGGGTGAGTGAAATAAAATGTTTATTTTATTCAGAACAAACCTGTATCTTGTTGTAGTTGAAATTTATAACTTACTGAGGACAACATTGAAATGTAACTAACAGGGATCATTACCAGGCTATGACATCTTGTCTATAGAGGTATCCTAAGCTGACACTGTATTTCATTCATTTGGTAATAACTAATGAAGGCTGTTTTCCCCTCTTCTTGAATAGCAACTTGTGGATAAGAGAAGCACTTTAGCTGTGTCAACATGATTAAAAAAGTTAAATAAAAGAGAGACAATCTTGCAAATGCCAGTCCCTGTATCTTTTAAAGTAACTATCAGTATAAATTCAGGAAGGGGTTTTTGTCTGAATTGTCCTGGTATAATAATTGCTACAAATCTCTACTTCTTAACCTATGAAGCTGTAACCTAAGGGCATTTAGTGCATTACTGTCAATTTTCAAGGCACTAAATTATCCCGAAGAGACCTTGAAAAGAGGACTATGCTGCTGCAGCAACCTCACTTATTATCCAGTAGGGATTCAGGTTTTGGGGTGGATTTGATTTAGTATTCCTAACAATGCCTCCTTGTGTTAACAGACTGTATCTTGGATAGTTCTAGAAGGTGCATGTTCTCTTAATAGAACTCTCCTGCTTTTGTATTCAATTAGATTATTAAAAAATTCAGTTTGTCTTATCCTAATTCATCTCCAGATTTTTAAGTACGACTTCCCCAAACACATCAGATTCACTCTGCTTTTTAAATTACTGTGCATAAAAGGTATTATTAAATTATGGAAATTCATCCTCAGACTTTCAATTATCTCAAGTTTATCTCTAAGAAATAAACATTTAGCAATACCTTTTAAAGTTGCCGAATGTTCAGACTGCAGACAGAAGCACTGAGTGTGGTTGGTGGTGCTATAGCACCTATAGTTTCCCCAGATGTAATTTAGGAATAGAAAAGGATGGCCTGTAGAAATTCCTTTTCTGACCAGTATCTTCACAGGTGGCCAATACACATTCATATGCAATCTCACTGGAGAGATTAGTACACCTGTGATATCTATTAGTATCTGTGATATCTATTAGTATCTGCGATACAGGTCTGAGATGCATTTCTGCGGCAGCTGTGTAATTTTAGAATTCTCAGTAAATTGTATTGACTCCAGGAAGAGACAGTTGCATGGACGGTGTCATTAAAACATGTCACTGGAAGTTACTTCCATCAGAAGGGACAACAGAGACGCTTAACCCTCACAATCACATTCTTAGGTAGTAGGGGGGCAAATAGGCAATGTTAATGTGACTGAAAAAGAGCAGTTTTGGAGAGTCAGTCTGAGTTTGATTATTGTATTATTTAGTTGTTAGCCTAATTTGTTTCAACTGTGAAACTATATAATACAACCAATCTCAATGAAATAATTTTTTTTAAACACTAAGTGCCATGCCTGTCACAGAGTGTTTTTTCAATTATTGATTGTAGCTATTGTTTTTATTGCTGTTAGCATTATGATTCCATAAAGTGAGATACAGAGAAGTTAACTGCACTAGATGAGACCAAAATCCAGTCTTAATTCAGTATGTTTCTATGTTGATGCATTCTAGTGAGAGAGATCAGTGGCAAGACACTGTTTGTGACCAGACTTTCTTATATTTTTTAGGAAACAATTCAGTATAGCAGAAAAAAGGCCTGAAATTCCACAATACATTATTTGCTTCCTGATGGTGTACATACTATTATCAAAAGCTATCAAGGAACTTCCGCATTTCTGGAAGATGAGGGGGTGCCTAAGGGTATAACAGCTCTAGCTTCTTGATGGCAAACTTAGCAGAAATTCAATATGGCCTTTATCCGTGGCATCACATTGTAATGTCTTGTCTGTGCTTCTGCTTAAAAATATTCCTTGAAATATGGATTCTTATAAAATGATGCTGTGGGGGACCTCTTCCTCAAGTATAATATGTCCTGTTACTTGCTGTTAAGGCAATGTATTACAAATCAGAATTTTTGGAAGCCTTATCATTAAAGAAGCTGATTTCACATACCATATACTATATGAAGACCATACTGTCATAATAGTCTCTTTCTCTAAGGCACCAGCATATTAATGCACACACCTGTACTTTTATCAGTACCTCTCAGAAAGCAAAATCATTTTGTTTATGTGATTCATTGAATTAAATCAGTGCTTCCTCTTATGAAAAGACAGACACTTCATGGAAAGTGTAACAGCTTTTGATGACTACATTTTCAAGATCAGTAGATTGTAGCTCACATATTAATACTGGGAACTATTTGGGGACGTAATATAATGATAATAAATTCATCAGAATCCTCTTCATCATGTTAAAATATTTTTAGAGAGCCAACTAAAATGTTTTGAGGAGACTGGGTTTATGAAATATGAAATTGAGATGAGTTTCTCCTAAGAAGTAAATTATTTAGCTAGGAGGAAATTACTAGAAGGATACTGAAATGATGATATGCAAAAGAAAGAAAAATGTCTAATTAAAATCATAGTATCTTTGCATCTATACACCACAAAACTGAGCCAGCGTGTCACAGTGAGTGTACAGAGGGCTTGAGCACAATGGGAAGAGTAATTTTTTAAGTGAATTTATTAAATCAAAGTCTTTTAGATCATTTTGAAATAAAGCTTGAAATTTTAATACAAAGTAGAAGGCAACATCATGTAGTGGTTAAGACCATCGTTCTTGACTAAATTTTTACTCTCATCTCTGCAATTATTAGCTATATGGTCATGGGCAAGTTACTTAATTATGCCTCAGTTTTCTAATCTCTCAGGTGGAGATAATATTAGTACCTACCTCATGGAAATGCTTTGAAGAGTAAATGAGAGATGATGTATCCAATGTTTTTAGAAGAGTTCCTGGCATAGATTAGGTCTTCAATAAGGGTCAGCTATATTTAATATGAGGATTAATTGAGAGAGAATGATTGTAAAACATTTAGGGTGGTGCTTATTCAGTACAAGTTAGTTCTTTTATAGTTATAAAATACACAAATAGTATATTCGTATGCTTACTATTGTTAAAATCCAAACAAAAGTGGTAACTCAATGGTGAATGAATTTTTAATATACATGTGTACACATACCCATTGCAATTTGAATAACTTAAAAGTTTCACCTGTTCTTTCTAAAACAAAACCCACAAAACTATGCAAATTGTTATTTTACTGGTGATGACAAGAAGAAGCATTTCCAACTAAGAAAGTAACAACCTTTATATTGTGAGGGTGCTAAAAATATTACTAGCAAAAATAATGAAGAAACTTTGGAAGTAAAAGGGGATATGAGGCTTATGGAATTGATAAGAATAATGCATAGTGAGTAATTCCTTAATGTTTGGTATTACACAAAATGAGAATATTAGAATTCTGGCCACCACATAAGGTAAAATTTCATGAGGTTTTCTATTGGCTATAAAACATCTCAATGTATAAATATTATTTCTATTGAAAATCTTAACAACTCAGGCTTGAAATGAGGGTTAAGCTTCTGAAGATTCACTTATGTCAACATTTTTTTCATTTAAACTTTTCAATTTGAAAAGTACTTTTTTTCCCTTTTGTATTGTTATTTTCATAAAGTTCTTCACATTGACTTCTTCATCTTTCAATACGTAGTTTTTTACAGATTCTTTGAAGTATAAATTATATACCAGGAAATTCACCTATTATAAGTGTACAATTCAATGATTTTTAACAAATTTACAGACTTCTACAACCATCACAATGACCCAATTTTAGAACACTTTTCCTCACCCCAAGAAAGACTGTGGCCACCCCAATTCTGAGCAACCACTAGTCTGCTTTCTGTTCATATAGTTATATTCTGAACATTTAATATAAATGGAATTGTACAGTATGTTATCTGGCTTCACTTAGCATAGTGTTTTTAAGGCTAATCCATATTGTAGTATGTATCGGTACTCCATTACTTGTTATGGTGGACTAATATCCCATTGTATGGACATGACATATTTTGTTTATCCGCTCATCAGTTTGACTTGTTTCTACTTTTTGGCTACTATGAGCAATTCTTCTATAAACATTCATGTATGAGTCTCTGTGCACAGACACTTTTATGTTTTCATTTCTCTTGGATATATACCTAGGAGTGAAATACCCAGTTCATATGGTAACTCTATGCTTTAAGACCTGCCAAACTGTTTTCCAAAGCAGCTGTGCCATTTTATGTTCTCACCAGCATTTTGTGAATAAGGAGGCGGAATAAGATCAGATAAAGTTTAGTTTTCTCAAATCGGTTTTGGTTATAATTATTTTAGGGCATCTGGCTTAACAGTTTGAAGTGATCAAAATTAATACCTTTAAATCGCCCACTGGGTGGCTCACGCCAGTAATCCCAGCACTTTGGGAGGCCGAGGCGGGTGGATCACCTGAGGCCAGGAGTTCGAGACCAGCCTGGCCAACATGGTGAATCCCCATCTTTACTAAAAATACAAAAAAATAGCTGGGTGTGGTGGCGTGCGCCTGTAATCCCAGCTACTCGGGCGGCTGAGGCAGGAGAATAGCTTAAACCCAGGAGGTGGAGGTTGCAGTGAGCCAAGATCTCCCCAATGCACTCCAGCCTGGGTGACAGAGCATGACTACATCTCAAAAATAATAAATAAATATTAAAAATTAATCACCTGGCCGGGCGTGGTGGCTCACGCCTGTAATCCCAGTACCTTGGGAGGCCGAGGAGGGCAGATCACAAGGTCAGGAGATCGAGACCATCCTGGCTAACACAGTGAAACCCCGTCTCTACTAAAAATACAGAAAATTAGCCGGGCGTCGTGGCGGGCGCCTGTAGTCCCAGCTACTCGGGAGGCTGAGGCAGGAGAATGGCGTGAACCCGGGAGGCAGAGCTTGCAGTGAGCTGAGATCGCGCCACTGCACTCCAGCCTGGGCGACAGAGCGAGATTCCACCTCAAAAAAAAAAAAAAAAGAAAAGAAAAGAATCACCCTTATCCTTCAAAACCGACTCTAACTCTTGTCATATGTATTGATTTATCTTATAAGAAAAGGTAAGTCTTCAAATAGTACGATAATACGTGTTTCAGGGAGATACATATTGAGCATATTTTTCGTTTATTTACTAGTCAATTCTCATTTCTTATTATTTCATAAAGAATATTTTTGCAAATACCCTAAGTTAATAAGTCTAGAATTCAAAGTCCAAATGTTCTTATGTGAATTTAAAGAAAGGGTAGCCTTGACCCTGATTTCGAATGTGGTGAAGCGGCCCCAGCCGCCCCCCACAGTCTGCCCGTTGCTCATAGATCTCAAGGAAGTTGCTGGGGGACCGGTAGGCGTCATTCAGGTTCTGCGGCTTGGTGATCAGCCACTGGGTGTCAGCCATGGACTCCGCCATTTCGCTGTAGCCGCCGCCGCCGCGGGCTGCCATGACACGTTATGGACTAAAACACAAACGATAAAAGGGTTACCTATTTACCGCTAACGCATTACCAGTCGTCCAACTGCTGAAGATAAGAAAAATGTATCTGTGTGTGTGTGTGTGTGTGTGTGTGTGTGTGTGGCATTTTAGCATTAAGTTTATAATGTACCCTTACTTTTAGTTAATAAAATATGTTTCCATCAAAAAAGGGTCGTCTAATTAAAATTTCTTCATCTGAAAAAGCTACCCACCATATTGAAAGCAATGACAATTTTTTTCTGTACAATAGCAATAATAATAATAATTGCTCTAAGTAATATTACAAATTTAGTGTTATTACAAAGTACTTGGATACATGTTTGATATTTTCTATTGGAAAATGTCTTTCATTTGCAAATATACCTAGGGAAGCAGTAGGTCAAATGAAAAAGAAATTGTTCTCTTGAAATGTTATACTGCTCATGATTCAGTAAATGGGTATAGTTCATATCCTGTTCAAATAAAGAGGAAAGACTCATAGACCTTTTTCTGCTTATAAGCTTCTATTTTACCAGGTGAAGTCTTGATAATTCCATCAAACTTGGAACCTAATTAGAAAAGTGACTGATTTATATCTTCTCAGCTGTGTGAACATAATTCTGCCTATTGAATTGAGGGGTTGTTAATCCCTGGCAATCATGTTTGTGCCAACTTGACTGGTGATCTTAGACTATTTCCAGTCATAGGAGGTTGAAAAGCATGTGGATTTTAGAAAAGAAACAGGGAAAAGATGATGATTCTAAATAAAAACAGAACAGGACTAAACAAAAGTCTTGATATGATGAAGTTCAGAAAATAAAAGATTCTGTGAAATGTACTGGTGAATGCTTGGGGAAATGAAGAAATAAAATGAAGCTTTTTCAGCTTGATTAACGTCTGACTTTTTG
Source organism: Homo sapiens (assembly GCF_000001405.40). Taxonomy (NCBI): domain Eukaryota; kingdom Metazoa; phylum Chordata; class Mammalia; order Primates; family Hominidae; genus Homo; species Homo sapiens. The sequence continues at coordinate 5,635,606 of NC_000024.10, forward strand.
TTAACAGAAGTGGAATATGAGAATAGGTTTTATCTTCTAATGGAAAAAAGTATTTTGAAAAATGCTTTCTAGTTCACATAGTTTAACAACAACAAAAATTTTAATATACAATGCTGAGACTAGTAAAAAATCAAATCCCAAGGGGGAAAAAGATTACTGAATCATATAATTAAACTATACTTTACATATAGGTTTACTATAAATAATTTAGAATTTCAAATATGATCAGTGTATTTTCCAAAGTATGCATTTGCATTATATTTATAGAGGTAATCAATCTGTCTTATAAAGACTCAGATTTTACAATTTTCTTAATTTCCTCCTGTGTTAGAAAATAAAACACACAATGTCAAACGACGAGAACAACCTCAACCACAAACACAACCATCTATATATGAAGGTTCATTTCAGAGAACAGTATCTTTCTAACATTTGGCATCTGCCATCTTCAGGACCATTTCAGAGAAAAGGGACTGACCTGGCAAGAGAAATGTAAGATAAGGTGATCTATGATAGGCACGACTGGGTGTTTTTCTGACAATGACTTGCTAAATAAAAGAATGACTTTTTGTGAAAGATGTGAGAATGTAAGCCTGGATTGATTTATGTGAGGTATTGTCCAGGCTGAATGTGAACTAAATAATGTCTCACAGTACCCAATATTTTATTAATTGTTTCCCATCAAGGGCAAATTGGAGAATAGATAACAATAATCTGAATGATTCGAACCTTCCCTATTCTACCCTATCCCATAACTTTTATCCTCCCTTCTTTTGTTGCAATTGTCTGTGCATTTAAAAAACCCAAAATATAAAAAACAGAGCTTGAGTGTGTGTGTGCATGCATACCAAATTTCAAATGTGAGTTGGAATTGCATCAGAGATCTCTCTGAAAGCCAATTCAGGCTCTTGAGAAAATTGTCAACAATTAGTAGTGACATAGCTACATCACATTACCATTCTTTTGGTAAAGCTGGCAATGGTATAAACTTTCCATAGCCTTCGTGGTAATTCAAACATGGATTGCTTTATGCCCAGTGAAATAAACTTTGAGATAAGAAAATTAATCATGTGAACTAGTTTTCAAGGGAAATACAGTGTACCAGAACACTGGTCTTAAATATATAACATTAGATAGCCAACTGTATAAAAAGGACTGCTCATTTTAAATGGGATTTGTGTCTTTATTAAATTTTATCTCATGGGATTTTTATTTCTGCCTAAATATATATAGCATTAATTATACGAAAATTAATAAAATCAAATTTATTTTCTAAAGTATTCACTTAATTCAGACATTTATGTGAAGTAGGCTTCCCCTTCCATCTTCTCTTCCCAGCTTCACTTCCTATCATGAAAAGTTACATCCATAAACTTTGGGTGAAATACCTCTTGAGCAATGCTACCTGATTCAATAAAGTTTTTTCTCTATTTGTAAAAAATGTTACTGTTTTCATATATCAAGTCCATCAAACTATACTCTGTAATTGTTGACTTCTGTGATTTTTAACAAATATTGTCATAGTGCAATGATAGCATTTTCATTCACAGGGGCTCAGCTCTGTCTTCTTTTGGTAAAAATTGCTTGCTCTAAGATGATAGATTAATCTCAAAATTGATGGATTGATTTCTCTTTTTTTATTGGTTGGTTTAAGCAAACCAGTATGTAAAAACTATCACATAATTTTAAATAGTTTTTTAAGTTGAATCTCTTTCCTATCTGCCTTAAACCTCTTTGTGTTAATTAATTCTGTGGTTTTAACTGAACTTTTATCTTGAAAAATATCAGTAAACTCATCCAAATTGAGAAGTAAATGTGATATGTTTTCCCTTTGTGAAATGTCTTTCCATGTTTTTCAAAATCTTCCTGTAAGTTTCATTTACTTTATCCTTACCTATCATGTGGATATTGTTATTAGAGCTTCCTTAGCAATAATAATCACAAAACTATGTGTGTGTGCATGTGCACATATATGAAGTATATATATACATACTCTGTAAACTCAATCCAGTGAATGTTAAGGAGTCTGCTATGGATCTACTTAACTGAGTCAATTTATCTTCTTGAACATCACAATCTTCGTAACGATTAAAAGGAGCCAATGTTTTATACTTTCCACTTGGTCCAGTGACCTATTTGACTTGCTTATGTAAGTCCTCTTTCCTCAACCTTACAAAAGGTAGAATAATCAGGGCCTTCAGGATTATATCCTAGCTTGGCCTGTTTAAGACCTTCTGCGAGCATGCTAGCAAAAGAAAAGTTCCCTAGATACAAATTAAATCTTGCAGGGAACTTTCACTATGGCTTACCAATAAATTTTTTTTTTTTTTTTTTTTTTTTTTTTTTTTTTTTTTTTTTTTTTTTTTTTTGAGACAGAGTCTCGCTCTGTCGCCCAGGCTGGAGTGCAGTGGTGTGATCTCGGCTCTCTGTAAGCTCCACCTCCCAGGTTCACGCCATTCTCCTGCCTCAGCCTCCCGAGTAGCTGGGACTACAGGTGCCCGACACCACACCCAGCTAATTTTTTTGTATTTTTAGTAGAGACGGGGATTCACCGTGTTAGCCAGGATGGTCTTGATCTCCTGACCTCGTGATCCACCTTCATCAACCTCCCAAAGGGCTGGAAAAAAATTTTTTAAGTTCTGATTCTGCTGCTTACTATACTGTTTGGCCTTGGACATTTTGAACCACATTTCTTCATTTGCAAAATGAGGACCATAATGCTTCATAAAACTTCATTTGTTGTGATAATACATTACACATGCCTAGTGCTTAATACAATGTATTGGCAGATGAAGAAATCCATATAGAGAAGATGAGTAACTCACTCAAGCTCACACAGTAGGCAGCAGTGGAATTGGGTGTTATCTCATTCATAATTGAAGCCAAACTTGTATTTATCCTTCTATTATAGTAGCAAATAGACTTCTTTATTATCTCTATCAAAACATGATACAAAATTGATCTCTTCCTCTCTCCTAATGCCATCTTATATGTGCTTTATCTTTTTATTTTTACTTTATGATTAAATTAATATCATTCTGGCAACGTACTTAAGTATAATTAATTATGACTCCTTCTTTGCTCAAGATAAAAATATATCATTAGTGACTATGAACTCATCTATCAAAAAGGGTATTAACCTATCTGTTCTAATTAGTTCAATTTATTATAGGGATTAGAAAACAAATATCATAGTGACGTCATATTCTTTGTTTTTTTGACTTATGACAGGTAAATCAAAAGTGTACCCTTTATTATTAGTTAATTTTTAATAATCTCAGTACAGTCAAATAGTATACTTCATTTCTTCAGTATGTCATATTTACAAGGATATACTTTGTCTTTATTCCTCTCATTCATTTTGCCTTCATATGCTCTTTTTAAGTACATTTTAATAGTAAAAGCCCCCAAAAACATGTAAATCTTTTGAGCTTTTGAGGGTTTCTGACCAAAGATAACAATAGTATCAATAGCTGTATCTTTGGAGATTTGAATTTTTACTATAATGGTTGAAAAATAATACTGACAAACATTAAGCACTTTCTTTGTCCTGTGGGATAGGGTGGAGGGAAAAACTGATTGGCTTCTAATTACATAAGAGAGGAGATAGGATAATTAGACACCACTTGTAAAAATAATTCCAAGTACAGGAAAAATGCTGATAAATACAAATCTTGTGGGGATAAAGGAGAGAAATAGAAAGGAATCAACATGAACACTTAACGGTATTTATAGAATAAGCATACCTCGACGATATTGTGGGCTCAGTTCCAGACCATTGCAATAAAGTGAAATACTGATAAATACAAATCTCTCAGATTTTTTTTTGGTTTCCCAATGCATATAAAAATTGTGTTTACATTAAGCTATAGTCTATTAAATGTGCAAGAGCATTATGTCTTTTAAAATGTATATACCTTAGTTTAAAAATATTGCTAAAAAATGCTGAAGATCATCTGCACCTTCAGGGGATAGTAATCTTGTTGCTGGTGGAAGGTCTTACCTCAATATTGATGGTTACTGACTGATCAGAGTGGTGGTTGCTAAAGGTTGGAGTGGCTGTGGCATTTTTTTTTTTTTTTTTTTTTTTTGTAGAAACAGGATTTCGCCATGTTGACCAGGCTGGTATTGAATTCCTGGACTTGAGTAATTCTTCTGTCTTGGCCTCCCAAAGTGCTGGAAGTACAGGCATGAGCCACCACACCTGGCCTGGCAATTTCTTAAAATAAGACAACAGTGATGTCTGCTGCATCAATTGACTCTTCCTTTCACAAAAGATTTCTCTGTAGCCTGCCATGCTGTTTGATAGTATTTTACCCATTGTAGAACTTCATTAAAAAATTGGAGTCAGTCCTCTCACTGCTGCCACTTTATCAACTAAGCTTACATAATATTGTAAATCCTTTATTTATATTTCAACAATGTCCTCAGGATCTTCACCAGTAGTAGTTTCTATGTCAAGAAACCATTTTCTTTGCTCATCCTTAAGAAGCAACTCCTCATCTGTTAAAATTTTATCATGAGATTGGAGCAGTTCAGTCACATCTTCAGGCTCCACTTTTAATTCTAGTTCTCTTGCTATTTCCACCACATCTGCAGTGATTTCCTTCACTGAAGTCTTAAACCTCTCAAAGTCGTCCATGAAGGTTGGAATAAACTTCTTCCAAACTCCTGTTAATGTTAGTATTTTGACCCCCCTCCCATGAATCATGAATGTTCTTAATGGCATCTAGAATGGTGAACCTTATCCAAATAATTTTCAATTTATTTTACACAGATGTATCAGAGGAATCACAATTCAATGCAGCTATACCCATGGAAAATATGTTTATTAAATAATGAGATTTGAATATCAAAATTATTCTTTGATTCATGGACTATAGAATGAATGTTGTGTTAGCAAGAATGAAAACAACTTTAATCTGCTCGTATGTCTCCATTAGAGCTCTTGACTGACCAGGTACATTGGCAATGAGCAGTAATATGTTGAAAGGAATCTTTTTTTCTCAGCCGCAGATCTAAACAGTTGGGTTAAAATATTCAGTAAACCATGCTACGAAAATATGTGCTGTCATTCAGGCTTTGATGTTCCATTTATAGAGTTCAGGCTCAGTTCATCTAGCGTAATTCTTAAGTGCCCTAGGTTTTGCAGAATGGTCAATGAGCACTGGTTTCAAATTAAAGTTGTCAAATGCATTAGCTACTAACAAGAGAATCAGCCTGTCCTCTGAAGCTTTGAAGCTAGGCATTGACTTCTTTTCTCTATGAAAGTCCTACATGGTATCTTCTTTCACTCTATGGCTGCTTCATCTACATTGAAAATCTGCTGTTTAGTGTAGCCACCTCCATGAATTACTTTAGCTAGATCTGGATAACTTCCTGCAGTTTCTTCATCAGCACTTGCTGCTTCACTTTGCACTTTTTTGTTATGAAGATAGCTATTTTCCTTCAACCTCATGAACCAACCCCTGCTAGCTTCAGCGTTTTCTTCTGCAGCTTCCTTACCTCTCAGCCTTCATAGAATTAATCTTTTCTCTGGATTAGGCTTTAGCTTAAAGGAATGTTGGGACTGGTTTGAACTTCTGTTCAGACCAGCAAAACTTTCTCAATATTAGCAGTAAAGCTGTTTTGCTTTTTTGTAATTAATGTGTTAACTGGAATATAACTTTTACTTTTCTTCAAGACCTTGTCCTTTGCAGCCACAACTTGGCAAACTATTTGGTGCAAGAGGTCTAGCTTTTGGCTTATCTTGGCTTTTGACATGTCTTTCTCACTAAGCTTAATCATTTCTACCTTTGATATAAAGTTAGATATGCATGACTCTTTTTCACTTGAACACGTAAGATGCCATTTTACGGTTATTAATTGGCCTGATTTCAGTATTGTTGTGTGTCAGGAAATAGGCCAGAAGAAAAAGAGAGAGATGGGAAAATGGCTGGTCAGTGGAGTAATCATAACACACACATTTATTGATTGTTCGCCCTCTTATCTGGGCCTGGTTTGTGGTATCCCAAAGCAATTATAATAGTGACATCCAAGGCCACTAATCACCATAACAGATATAATAATAATGAAAACGTTTGGAATATTGTGAGAGTTACCAAAATGTGACACAGAGACCCAAAGTAAGCACACGCTGTTAGAAAAACGGCATGGATAGACTTGTTGGACACAAGGTTGCCACAGATCTTCAATATGTAAAAAACACATCTGTAAAGAACAACAAAGTGAAGTGCAGTAAAATGTGGTATGCTTGTAAATGTTATATTATTGTGTTTACAACATGCTGCGCTGAGCAATTTACAGATGTTATATCTAATTTTCAAAATAGTCCTTCTGAAGAAGAGGAATTCCAAACTCACTGTGGAGCTTAAGAAAAAGTGGGTAACATATTGTGGTGAGAGAGTTAATTAACTTTCCTAAGATCAAAAATTTTAAAGTGCCAAAACAAAAAATCAAGGCCAAGTCAGTCTGACCCTAAGAATAATGCTTCTCCCAGAACTTTACATCACTTGGATGAAATGTATCCAAGAGTTATTCTCAGCAGTTAAGATTTGGCCACTAAGAAAGTAAGGCTTTCTGACAAATCTGCCATAGATGGGCCATTCAGAGAGTGAGCTAAATATAAAGGAAAGAAAATAAGAGGCAAGGCCTCCTGCACTATTTTAATGATATGCACATCTTTTAAAATGTGTCTTATTTTAATGTCTTTTCCCCCAGAATAACATCAAAGCGACAGGCAATCCATTCTGTAGTTGCTATCCAATGTCATATCTATTTTTCTCAGTGATGCACTGCTTTTTGACCAAAATAATGATATTTATTAGTTTGGATGAGTCACCTTTTTTTGCATAGTACTCAGCCCACTGGCTTCTTTGAATCCCTTTCTAGATATACAGGGAATAGTTACTATTAGTCTAGCTCTAAAATTTTATATTATTAAATTGCTCCACAAATGTTGCATCCAGTCATTTCCTCTTCATTTTTCTCTCTTAAGGTGTTAGAGAGCTGTGAGCTACATTTTCTTTCTATAAAAAGCAAGAGTAACGTTAGACATCGCTCAGATCTCAGAAGAAAACATGTTGAATGATGATTGAAATTTGACATTAACTAGTGCTATTGCAGTCTTAACTGAAGGTCACAGGATATGTGACCACCAAAATTCCCTCCTAGACTCAGTGGTGGATGCCAGAGATTTTCTCCACTGTTTTCCTTATCTGCTTTCGTCACTCTGTCCCATAAAGTTCACAGGGCTTCTCTAAGGGAAGGGTCAGGCACTGTAGTGAACACTTATCTTTTCTTTTAAAGACTTCCAGAGATAGAGGTTTTGCAGCAGTGAATCAGTATGCCTTTCTGGTAGTTCGCATTGTCATGAAATTCTTTCTTTTATTTTCACTTTTCTTACTCCCCAATCCAAAGCTTCTTCTCTTTTTGTTTTTCTTCTTTTTATTATCCTTCACCTCACAATCCATCATACATTTGTTTTTATGTAATTTTTAGCATTTTTTTCAAATGAAATAGGCCATTTTAGATTCTTTTTTATGAATCAATTTTTCAATTAAGGTGAGTTCTTTCTGAGATTAGAATTTTTTTCTGTATGCAGTACTAGGGAGGTTACAAGCCATATGAGTAAACGCTTAGCACAGAAGACAAGAGATTGGTGTTCGAGAACATTTCAAAAGTGGCTTCAAATGCAAAACTACACAGAGCAAAATTTCTGTTTTCATTTATTACATATTATATGGAGTTAAATGTTAAATACTATTATACCTCAGTACCGTGATTCTGCCTTTATCTTCATTGATTTTAAACAAAAGATCTCTTTTCCATCTTCTCGCTTTAAGTTGCTCTAGAGTTGCGAATCGGGGTTTATAATCTGAAGCAAATACATCAAGACATAAATCAGGTTAACAGGGGAAAATCCAGATGTCCAAATTCTACTCTACGTCTTTTATCCAAAATTTGAATTATTTGCCTGTTCATTTTTCAGAAGCGACTTCTGCAAATACACATTATAGTAAAACGAATGAGACAAGAATATTTATTTTTCTGGCTTATATTCTGATTTCTGACATGTTATCTTCCAATATGGGTATCTACTGCCCATATTGATATCTACTGCCCATAGCAACTGCCCAGTTGTCAGTAACCCCATCCCTATTTTTGTACCCATTAAAAAAAAGATTTGTGTTTAGTTTCATTGGAGCAGTAGTTTTCAGCATGAATTTGACCTTTTTTTTTTTTCTAAGACCAATTACTAATTAAATTTATCATCTGGTATTCTGTTCTTTGTCCCTTCAATAGACTGTTGTTTCAATCTCTTGCCATTCTGTGACTTGACATTCCCTTGAGATGTGATAACTAACTAAAGTTAACTTAATAGCAGCATAGAAAATTCAGAGAGTATCATCTGTACAAGTGTATGTGTATAGTAATACCTAAAATTTAGTACAGGGCATGTGCTTGTGTCTCTAATCAGGACCTTGTGTTTTTGCTATGAGGAACTCTATGATTTCTAATAATTAATCCTCAACCTACCACAGAATTAACTCTGACAGTTGGGAACACCTAAATGTTTTCCCTACTCAGTTAATATAAAACAGTGCCAGAAAGGAATCCTTAAATGGAAACTTGGAAGAATATTCATAAACTATTACATGTCTTCAATCAACCCACAAAATGAACTTAAACCTCATTTTTATTAAATGAACTTAACCTTTGTATCTATGCAGTATTACAATTAACATTAGCATAACTCTCTTATTAATTTTGAATTCTTTTTGTCAACTGCTAGATTTTCCTTCCTGAATTATGTCTTTGTTTGCAACTTGTTTTTCTACTTTATAGACATAAGAACAATGTAAAGAAGATAAAAATAATTCAATGTTTTTGCAAAAGTGATACTGCATGAAATTACCAAAGTAAGACTTTAAAAAAAGTAGAGTTGTCTGGGTGCAGTGGCTTACGCCTGTAATCCCAGCACTTTGGGAGGCTGAGGTGGGTGGATCACCTGAGGTCAGGAGTTCGAGACCAGCCTGACCAACATGGTGAAACCCCATCGCTACTAAAAATACAAAAATTAGCCAGGAGTGGTGGTGCATGCCTGTAATCCCAGCTACATGGGTGGCTGAGGCAGGAGAATTGCTTGAACCCAGGAGGCAGAGGTTGCAGTGGGCCAATATTGCACCAATGCATTCCAGCCTGGGCTACAAGAGCAAAACTCTTTCTCAAAAAAAAAAAAAAAAAAAAAAGTAGAATTACTATCTTATCAGTTCTTGGCCAACCATGTACACAACTGAATATTGAAAAGTTAATACATTCTTTATCAACCTTGCCTTACAAATATTATAACAATATCCTTTCTTGAAGCTAGTTTTTTGAAGCTTTAATTGATAACCATTTAAAAGAAAAATATTTCAATAATAATGCAAATTTCGTGAGGGCATGGAATTCATTCATTGGGTCATTTTCTTATTTTTTGCTCCAATTTTTTAAATTTTAGAAGATTAAACACGGAGTGCTACAGGGTGACCTAAGAATGAATTGGGATACAATACTAACAAATAGAATTCAGTACTTGGGCTCCAGATTCCCTGTTGCTCCCTGTAGCCAAATCTTTTTCAGGGATCAGAATATAATAGGTCAGTATCTGAACTTTGAAGAGTATCTGCCCTTAAAATAAAATTCATTCTTAATTCATCACGGGAGATGTATGTCCTCGTAGGCTGACTTTAGCATTTTTTTTCTTTTTTCTTCTACAACCTGCAACATAACATTTGGTATATGGTTCCAGTTCTATGATCATTAGCAGCCTTTGGAGTACTGTAGGTGTGGCAAAAATGAAGTGAAGAAAAGAAGAATTTTCAAATTCCTTCATGAAGCTAAGACTTTAGGAGAATTGAGATTTTTTTAATAAGCTCTACTCTAATTGCTTGCTTAATAGTTCATGTTTACAATGGGGAGCCATTGTTCGCACACTACCCATCTGACAAGTGATTCATAACCAGAATATATAAGGAGCTCAAATAACTCAATAGGAAAATATTAATAATACCATCAGAAATGGGCAAAATATATCCATAGACATTTCTGAAAAGAAGACACCCAAATCTCATACAAGCATCTGAAAAAGTGCTCAGCATCATTGAACATCAGATAAATGCAAATCCAAACTGCAATGAGATATCCTCTCACCCCAGTTAAAATGGCTTTTATCCAAAAGGCAGGCAATACCATATGCTAGTGCAGATGTGGAGAGAAGGGAACCCTAGTACCGTGTTGGTGGAAATGTAAATTAGTACAACCACTATAGAGAACAGTTTGGAGTTCCCTCAAAAAAACAAAAATTGAGCTACCATATGATCCAGCAATCCCATTGCTTGATATATACCAAAAAGAAAGGAAAACAGTATATTGAAGAGACATTTGCACTCCTATGTTTGTTGCAGCACTGTTTACAATAGCTAAGATTTGTAAGCAACCCAACTTTCCATCAACAGATGAATGGAGAAAGAAAATGTGGTACATACACACAGTGGTATACTATTTAGCCATAGCAAAGAATGAGCTCTTGCCATTTGCGACAACACCTATGGAACTGAAGATCATTATGTTAAGTGAAATAAACCAGGTGCAGAAAGACAAACATTGCATGTTCCCACTTTTTTGTGGGATCTAAAAATAAAATCAATTGAACTCAGGAAGGTAGAAAGTTGAAGGATGGTTACCAGAGTCTGGGAAGGGTAGCCGGGGTTTGGGATGAGGTGGAGATGGTTAGTGGGCCCAAAAATACAGAAAGAACAAATAAAACCTACAATTTGATGACACAATAGCGTCACTATAATCAATAATAACTTAATTGTACATTTTTAAATAACTTAAAAAGTGTAATTGGATTGTTTTAAATTCAAAGGATAAATGCTTGAGGGGAGAAATATCTCATTCCCCATGATGAGATTATTTCACTTTGCATGCCTGTATCAAAACATCTCAGGTACCCCATGAATATATACACCTGGTATGTACCCACAAAAATTAAATAAAAAATTAGAAATTAAAAAAAAAAGTATTATGATTTCAATTCCCATGAAGAATATTTGAAATTAGTGAACACATTTTTTCTTGCTAAATTACACATGGTATTATTAACATATCTTTAGAAAGGTTATAACTTATTTTAAAGCACTAGACACTGTCTCAAATGAGCCAGTCTTATTTACTATAATAAGCTAGAAAATTAGCCCTAAAATTAATTTACTTTAAAACATTTATCAGACCCTAAAGCTAAAAGAAAATACTTTTTAAAAGAGCAACACATAAAATATATTCTCCTATTTAAAAATCCTGCCCATGAGAAGGGATCTAACATAATTGAGTATTTCTTGGGAAGAACATTTACTCATGTATTCAAGATCCAACTGAATTGTTCAGCCCAAATATCTGAATTTTACTTTGCTGACAGAACTAAGTTTCTTCATTTCAAGCAGTAATATCCAGCATATTGGATATTATAGATTTATAATGAATAAATGAAAGAGTACATGAGTGAATTAAGTGGACCCTTATCTGACATATTTCAAGATAGCTCTTTTAGCATAAGGGGCATTCTACATTTCGGGGTGAATTATTAGAACTACTTCTAAATGTACTCTTATTCCCAGACACGAATCATAAACAGAATGAGATTGATAACTGGGGGATTAATAGTGAAAACGGTCTCTTTATTTGATTAAAAGAATTTGCGTCATTTTTCTAGAACAGGAGTATACATAATGTACCTAGCAAAATTAAAGAGAAGATTTAGTTTAAGAAAATAAAAATTATATGCACACACACATATACAGACATACGCACATGTGCATATCCTACATGTATTTAATGAGTCCTAAGTTGTTTTATTTTTATTTATTTATTTTTTTGAGACGGAGTTTCGTTCTTGTTGCCTAGGCTGAAGTGCAATGGCGCAATTTTGGCTTACCGCAACCTCCGCCTCCTGGATTCAAGTGATTCTCCTGCCTCAGCCTCCCGAGTAGCTGGGATTATAGGCATGCACCACCACAACCGGCTAATTTTGTATTTTTTAGTAGAGAGGGGGTTTCTGCATGTTGGTCAGGCTGGTCTCGAACTCCCGACCTCAGGTGATCCACCTGCCTTGGCCTCCCAAAAGTGCTGGGATTACAGGCATGAGCCACCACTCGCAGCCTTGAGTCCTAAGTTGTGATGGGAATCCTTAGAGAAATTCCAGTTCAACCCATTTCCATATAATCCTGCCAGTGTTATTATATTTCTCTATATTTTAATAAGAATTCAAATTATTATGTCAAAATCTCTAAGAAAAGAAGACGTAATGTTTTAATGAAGTTTTAAGTATGAAAAAAAGAACATTCAGTTGTCTTTTAAAAATACTACCTACAAATGCATACTGTAACTCTGGTGACAAAATGAGAATATCAGCATTAAGACCCAGAAAATAAGGTGCATGTTAAGCCCTATTATTTGTAACATTATTAATTGGTGAAAGATAAGTGCAGGATTGATAAAGGTCACAGAGGGATATGCTGCATGAGATAATTAGATCCACATACTTTAAACAAACCCAGCCTTACGTTAGATTTAGATCGCTGTCTGAACTAAAGGGTAGAATGCTTTAATGCACCACTTTATCCTGAGCATTATATTTCACACTGTGGAAAGTTGCCATTTTTATGGGTTTATAGGATGAAAAAATTTTCTGGAGAAAAAAACACAGTAGGATTGATGTTTACCGAAATAGGCAGTGATTAGCGAGCCATCTGTGTTGATGTAACAGGCACATCACCATTGTTTGTTTCTGGATGAGTTATTAATGCTAGATGCATCAGTCATGGTTTCCATCATTAATTTAGATTTATTCCATGGCTGAAAAGGTTATTCTAACAGTGGAACATGCCTGTGATACCTTTCAGAGAAATGCTAATCACAGTCCACTGAATCTGTATGTATTATTTAGTGCCATTACCAATCCTAAAGCTTTCTAGATTTTTACTTCTCTATTATTTGTGTTCATAGATCTTGGTAATGCTATATAGCATTCACACTATGATAATAAAGAGCAACTATAGGAGTTATAGCCAGTCTAGGGTCTTGCTCAGAGTAGCATTGAGATGGGAGAGAATGTGCAGAGGATTAAGGAATTTAAAATTATGAATAATTAGACATAAATAGCACAGAACAGGTCACACATCTGTTGGCTAAGTGTCAGTGATTGAGGAAAAAGAAAAAAATAATTACCTTACTCGAAGATCGATAAGCAGAGACCAGCATTTCCTAAAGTATGTTCTATTGAAGACTAATACAAGGAGATACTTTTAAAAGTAAAAATAAATAAATAAAGGTGCAGTGGTCTATTGTGTTTGGGAATAAGAACATAAAACTGGAATTATCTATGACTTGAGTCAATAATGACATCCATTATTGATGATAACAGTTCTTTTCTAGGTTTGGTAGAAATAATAATCGAAAGTTACCTTATGTGAGGATTTACCAGAAATAAACAGTCAAAGGACTTCTCTATAAAATATCATTTCTTAGCGAGCATTGACCTCTTTTTTGTGACATATGGGTTTGTAAATTAAAAAGTATGTAATAGACCTAAGGATATAAAAACAAGTGATTCAAAATACTCTGATGAAAAGAAAAGAAACCTTTGAACCAAAGAAGTGGCTTTCAATTTAGATGGTTCTCAAAGACTGAAAACATTTTTTAAAGATTAGCAATTTTTGTTTATTGTTCTTTAAACCCCAAAGTCGAGGTGCAGATTAACCCTTCTAATTAGGCTTCATCTATGGGGGAGTACAAATTGTTTCAAAGATTCAAAATCATTTGAATATTTACTATTTTGCAAACAGCTGGATTCCCTTGCTCTTTTACCTGTAAAGTGTATGAATGCAAAACTTCTAGGAAATGGTGGGGAAGAGCATACACCCCCACCAAAACAGGCCTTGCATTGTTGTTATTTTACCGTTTATAAAAACCTTCCTACGATGATAGATTTAATCTATAGCTGTGAGGCAGGAGAAATCCCAGAGATGGTTGTTTGCAATACTAAGAGTAAGTTTAGCATTTTCCTAATTCTATGTCATGCATGCCCCTTTTAAAGATACTATGGCCTCTAGTACATAAGTTACAGTAATTCTTCACAATAGTTCGGTGCTTGAAGAATGAGATGGCAGACATTTTAAAAGATGTAGAAGGAATGCTTCAGCCACAAATATTCCAAAGATATAATATTTTATCCCTGGGTGATGAATATTTGAATCGATTGTTTTTAGCTTAAGTTTTTTTTCATGTCTTCTAAAACTGATTACCATAGAAACAATTGTATTAGTCATGAAATTATCAGATTTAGTTATCAGGTTGTTTACAAAACTTCAAGCATTGTAAATTATCTTTTCCATATGGAAAGTAACATAGATGGAGATCGTTTCAGTGCATCTTAAACTATATTGGTGGCCAATATAGAATGCAATTTTTTTTATAATTCTCAAGTTAATATAATACCGTAGGTTTTTCTTAATCCTCATGTTAATGCATTATTTTCAAAAATTACAATTTTTATATTGCGAGAAACACTTCAATGAAGCTCCCACATGTGAGAAAAACACTAGAAATAGAAAGGCTTCCTTAAACCACATAAAAAATCAACTTAGTAGGAATGAATCATTAATTTAAAAGTGCATGTGTGTGCACACACAGAGAGTTTTATCAACTCCTATGAGATTTCTTGTAAGAATTTAAGACTAAATGTGATGTCTCAAATTAAAATTAACTCTGTAAGTAAAACTCTGCAGTGTACCAAGAACAAAGGGTAAGGAATACATAGGTACCATCAAAATTACCAGAGACTCCTTTCAGTAGAATGTCAGTGTTCCAATTTTTCTTAACTTTAGATGTCAAAGTTATTAGCTCCATAGGTGAATATAATTTCCTGTAATGTAAATAATTGACTAAAGTTTACTGTTTTTTGAACATCTGAACTCTGTGTGAAGACCGTCAGTGAATTTATGTGTTTAATTCATAAAGATATTTTTACATATTATTAGCTTAAGCCATCTTATTTGCTATTAACAATGAGTATCATGCTATGAAAATTTCCTCAACCAGATTTTATAAAAAATTGACATATGAAGTTTTTTAATGAATATATTAAATAAGCAGCTAAATACTGATACTAATACTGAAAAAAAAATTGACAATATTTGACATACCAGAGAACTTGAAATGAAAAATATTAATATTAAGTGACTGACCCATTTATATAATCTTCCTTAGTTCTGAGCTTTTCTGGATTTAGTGAGAGCCTTATATTGTCACAGAAATAAAGTCAATTATATTTCAGAGAAAAAATCATGAAAGATCATGACCTAACAGTATGCCCAAGGGATTGGAAATAAAAATATCTTTGAGTTTATTAATCTCACTAGTGTGGATAATATAATGTGTACTTTCCATTGGTGTTGTAAGAATAAATAGAATTTTTGTCTTGTTACTATAATGTATTGGTGATGATAACACAGAGCCACCTCAATACTACAGGGACAAAGTGGACACTGGAGAAAATAAGGTCTAGTAAGTGGAATTTCATGAAAGAAAGATATACCAATAGAAATACATTTTAATTTAGGACCTCTGGTACCTTGAAAGGATCTGGTCTGCCTTTTTCTACTTCAAGTTGCCATTGTTTAGCTGATGTATAAAGTTTGGCTTCTGATAAATGTAGTTCTTATTCTCCCAGAGTTACCCAGAGAAGGAGAGGACATCAATAGGAAACTCTTTTAAGACAGAGATTATTGCCTTAGCCTAAATTTCTATTAGATTTATTTTCTCCTTAAGAAATTAGAGACATAATGATATCTTTATTATTCAAATACAAGGAGTGATTCTAAGATTCCTTCATTTCTTAAAGAAAATTTTCTTTATTAAATACAATATACTAGTGGACACCATACAATCATTATCATCCACTAAGTCTATACTGCATTTAAGCATATATGAGAATAGACAGTAAAGACAAGATATGTTTAGTTGTTCTGAGAAGAATAAATTAGGAAAGAGTAGAAATGGAAGAAGAGATACAGGTTAGGTTCATGTAAAAAAACAACATGAAAAGTGAAAAGATGCTTACCTTTGGAGGCAGTGAGATTTAATAATATATTAAAAGGGATGTAGGATAAGTTGGGGAGTAATATATTTAACAAGAAGAAAGTTCTCCTCCTTCATTTAAAAAAAAAAAAAGGAGAAGGCAAAGCAAGATGGTGGAATAGAAAACTCCACCAATTCTCCCCCTGTATTAGTTCCTTTTCACATGCTGATAAAGACATACATAAGACTGGGCAATTTACATAAGAAAGAGGTCTAATTGGGTTCACAATTCCACATGGCTGCAGAGACCTCACAGTCATGGCAAAAGGCTAGGAGGAGCTAGTCATGTCTTACATGGATGGAAGCAGGCAAACAGAGAGCTTGTGCAGGGCAACTCTTGTTTTTAAAGCTATCAGGTCTCATGAGACCCATTCTCTATCATGGGAATAGCACAGGAAAGACCCACCTCCATAATTCAATCATCTCCCACTGGGTCCCTCCCACAACACATGGGAATTATGAGAGCTACAAGATGAGATTTGGGTGAGGATACACAGCCAAACCATATTACCCCCACACAATAACAGGCTTTATAGAACACCATATCATTTTCAAAACAGAATATAAATTAAATGTCTTTGGGAGGAAAAAGTAAAAAAGGTAAATTGTAGTAAAACATAGCCATAATACTTGTGATGTTATCACATAATTTTATGTGTACAATAAAAATGTCCCTAATAAATATTTTGAATACTCTATAACAGGTCCTGCTCTGGGAAGTTGAGGTCTACCAGAGGACAAACTAGAAAAAAAAAAATGTCCTACTTAACATAAAAGAATATGCTATCAAGAAAGCTGAGGATGTTACAGATGGTCTCTCTGTGAAAGTAATATTTAAGTTTATTCCTGAAGGTTTATTAACACTGGGTGTGTAGATGTGGGAAGGATTTCTAGGTGGAGAAAACAGCTTGTACAAAAGCCCTGAAATGAACATGCTTAGCATGTTGGAAGAACCGACAGAAGACCTGTGAATCCAGAGCAAGGATTTCAAAGGGGACAGGCACTTAAATTTTAGTGGTGAAAGAAAGACAATAAATATATAAGATAAGCAAATTTTATTATTTGCTAATTTGCTCTCTCAAATTTTATAGCATGTTAAAAGATGTTGAGTGCTGTATAGAAACATAGTGCAGAGTAATATTTGCTGTTCTGCAGCCTCCGCTGGTGATACCCAGGCAAACAGGGTCTGGAGTGGACCTCCAGCAGACACCAACAGACCTGCAGCTGAGGGTCCTGACTGTTAGAAGGAAAACTAACAAACAGAAAGGAATAGCATCAACACCAACAAAAAGGACATCCACACCAAAACCCCATCTGTAGGTCACCATCATCAAAGACCAAAGGTAGATAAAACCACAAAGATGGGGAGAAACCAGAGCAGAAAAGCTGAAAATTCTGAAAACCAGAGCTCCTCTTCTCCTCCAAAGGATCGCAGCTCCTCACCAGCAATGGAACAAAGCTGGACAGAGAATGACTTTGACGAGTTGACAGAAGTAGGCTTCAGAAGATCAGTAATAACAAACTTCTCTGAGCTAAAGGAGGATGTTTGAACCCATCGCAAATAAGTTAAAAACCTTGAAAAAATATTAGACGAATAGCTAACTAGAATAAACAGTGTAGAGAAGACCTTAAATGACCCGATGGAGCTGAAAACCATGGCACGAGAACTACGTGATGCATGCACAAGCTTCAGTAGCCAATTCGATCAAGTGGAAGAAAGGGTATCAGTGATTGAAGATCAAATAAATGAAATGAAGCGAGAAGAGAAGTTTAGAGAAAAAAAGCGTAAAAATAAACGAGCAAAGCCTCCAAGGCATATGGGCCTATGTGAAAAGACCAAATCTACGTTTGATTGGTATACCTGAAAGTGACGGGGAGAATGGAACCAAGTTGGAAAACACTCTTCAGGATATTATCGAGGAGAACTTCCCCAACCTAGCAAGGCAGGCCAACATTCAAATTCAGGAAATACAGAGAACACCACAAAGATACTCCTCGAGAAGAGCAACCCCAAGATACATAATTGTCAGATTCACCAAGGTTGAAATGAAGGAAAAAATGTTAAGGCAGCCAGAGAGAAAGGTCAGGTTACCCACAAAGGGAAGCCCGTCAGACTAACAGCAGATCTCTCAGCAGAAACTCTACAAGCCAGAAGAGAGTGGGGGCCAATATTCAACATTCTTAAAAAAAGAATTTTCAACCCAGAATTTTATATCCAGCCAAACTAAGCTTCATAAATGAAGGAGAAATAAAATCCTTTACAGACAAGCAAATGTTGAGAGATTTTGTCACCACCAGGCCTGCCTTACAAGAGCTCCTGAAGGAAGCACTAAACATGGAAAGGAACAACCAGTACCAGCCACTACAAACACATGCCAAATCAAAACCACAGTGAGATACCATCTCACACCAGTCATAACGGCAACTACTAAAAAGTCAAAATACAACAGATGATGGTAAGGTTTCAGAGAAAAGCAACACTAATACACTGTTGGTTGCAATGTAAATTAGCTCAACCACTGTGGAAAGTAGTGTGGTGATTCCTCAAAGAGCTAAAAGCAGAACTATCATTCAACCTAGCAATTCCAGTACTGGGTATATACCCAAAGGAATATAGATAATTCTACTGTAAAGACTCATGCACATGTATATTCATGGCAGCATTATTCACAATACAACGACATGCAATCAACCTACATACCCATCAACGGTGCACTGGATAAAGAAAACGTGGTATATATACATCATGGAATACTACACAGCCATAAAAAAGAATGAGGTCATGTCCTTTGGAGGAACACAGATGAAGCCGGAGGCCATTATCCTTAGCAAACTAACATGGGAACAGAAAACCAAATACCGCATGTTCTCACTTATCAGTGTAAGCTAAATAATGAGAATACATAGACATATAGAGGGGAAAAACAGACACCGGGGCATATGGGAAGGTAAAGGGTGAGAGGAGGGAGATGATTAGGAAAAATAACTAATGGGTACTAGGCTTAATACCTGGGTGATGAAACAATCTGTAAAACAAACCCCTATGACACAAACAACCCTGCAAATGTACTCTTGAACTAAAAAGTTATTTAATATGTAAATTAAATTAGATCATATCATTGAGTATTAGGCAATTAGAAATTGAGGCAAAGATAGGAATACGATCCAATACTGCCATATAGTACCAGTAAGAATACACATTTGAGAACACTACTCTAATTTAAATGTAATGATCACAAAATAATCACAAAAATATTCACAAAAATAATCTTCTTAAGTCTTTCCTATCCTAAAATTGACAAAAGATTTTAAGAAGCTTAATTACCTTATCAAAAATTTTGCATAAGCTTGGTGAATAAAATACATTTCAGAGTTCATCCTTTCAACTTGATATTTGGTCATTAAAAAGTATTTTGTTTTACGGGGTTTGATACGCCGTCTCCCTCATAAGTTTGTGTTCCTCATAGATGTGATCTCTCTACATATTTCTATATTACTCAGAGGTTGGTTTCTTCCTTTTTATTCTATTCTTTTTTCTATTTTTTTCTCTGTTTTGTCTGAACGTCTTATTTTTGAAATCCAGTCTTTAAGCTCTGAAATTCTTTCTTCAGTTTGGTCTATTCTTCTGTTAGTACTTACGATTGCATTATCAAATTCTCATAGTATGTTTTCCAACTCTATCAGATTGTTTATGTACATTTTTATACAGGCGATTTTATCTGCCAGTTCCTGTATTATTTTATTGTGATCCTTAGCTTTCTTGGATTGGGCTTCAATGTGCTCCTGCATCTCAATGATTTTCATCTCTACCCATATTTTAAATTCTATTTCTGCAATTTCAGCCATCTCATCCTTGTTCAGAACTTTTGCTGGAGAGATATATACTGATATTTTCTTTCTTTTTAGTATATACTCAGTAGTGGGATTGGTATACCATTTGGTAGCTGCATTTTTAAGTTTTTGTGGAAGTTTCAGAATCTTCTCCATATTGTTTATAATAATTTTCATCTTAACCACCAACAGTGTACGAGGTTTCCCTGTTCTCCACAACCTCTCTAGCATTTGTTATTGCCTGTCTCTTGGATAAAAGGCTTTTTTTTTTTTTTTTTTTTTTTTGAGACAGGGTCTTGTTCTGTCACCCAGGCTGGAGTGCAGTGGTGCAATCATGGCTCACTGCAGCCTTGACCTCTTGGGATCAAGCGATCTCCCTGTCTCAGCCTCTGCAGTATCTGGAACTACAGGTGTATGCCACAATGCTAGGATAAATTTTGTATTTTTTGTAGAGACAGGGCTGTGCATGTTGCCCAGGCTGGGATAAAAGTCATTTTAACTGGGGTAAGATAATAACTCATTGTAATTTTGATTTGCCTTTCTCTTATTATCAGTTATGTTGAACATATTTTCACATGCCTGTTTGCCATTTGCATGTCTTCTTCAGAGAAATATCTACTCCAATCTATTGCCTGTTTTGAATTGCATTATTGAATTTTTTCTTATGAAGTTATTTTATCTTCTTATATATTCTTGTTATGAATCCCTTGACAGATAGATTGTTTGCAAATATTTTCTCCCATTTTGTGAGTTGTCTTTTAACTTTGTTTATTATTTTATTCATCCTGCAGAAGCTTTTTAACTTCACGTGATCCCGTTTGTCCATTTTTTTTTTTTTGCTTCATTTCCTTGTACTTCTAGAGTATTACTTAAGAAATTTTGGCCCAGACCAATGTGCTGAAGATTTTCCCCCCCAAAAGTGAAAGAACTCTACAATGAAAGCTATAAAATCTAATAAAGGACATTGAAGAGAAAAATAAAAATAAAAAGATATTTCATGTTTATGGATTAGAATAATCAATATTGTTAAAATGTCCATACTACCTAAATTAATCTATTGATTCAATGCAATCTCTATCAAAATACCAATGATATTTTTCACAGAAAGGGAAAAACAATCCTAAAATTTATATGGAACCCTGTAATATTTAGATTAGCCAAAGCTGTCCTGAGCAAAAAGGGACAAAACTGGAGGAATCACCTTACCTGACTTGAAATTATACCACAGAGATATATGAACCCAAATAGCATAACACTGGCCAAAAAAAAACCAGACATATAGAACAATGGACCAGAATAGAGAATCAGAAACAAATCCACATACCTACAGTGAACTTATTTTTGACAAAGTTGCCAAGAACATGCACTGGAAAAAAGACAATCTGATTTATTTTTCCGATAATTAACTATTGGCATATAGAAAGGCTACTGATTTTTGTATATTGATTTTGTATTCTGTAAATTTACTAAATTTGTCCATCAGTTTTAATAGTTTTTGGTAGTGTCTTTAGGATTTTCCAAATATAAAATCATATCATCTGCAAACAAAGGTAATTTGAATTCTGTTTTACCGATTTGGATGTCCTTTTTATTTATTTATTTATTTTCAGCAAATCAAATAATATTTGCTTTATATATATATGAATGCTCCAGTGTTAGGTACATACATATTTATAATTGTTATGTCTTTTATTAAATTTACTTCTTTATCATTGTATAGTGACCTTCTTTGTCTCTTCTTATAGTGTTTATCTTGAAATCTATGTTGTTGAATATAAGTAAATATATTCTTGCCATTTTCTGGTTGCCGTTGGCATAAAACAGCTTTTAGCCATCCCTTTATTTTCAATCTGTGTGTATCTATATCGGAGAAGTTTGTTTTTTTAAGGCAAGAGATCATTGGGTCTTGTGTTTTTTCTTTATTCTGACATGTTATGTCCTTTCATTGGAGAGTTCATCTATTTATTTCCTTGTTATTATTGACAACTAGAGACTCACTCCTGTCATTTTCTTATTTGTTTTCTGGTTGGTTTGTAGTCTCCTCTCTCATTCTTTTCTTTTTTTATCCTTTTAGTGAAAGTGATTTTCTCTGGTGATATGATTTAATTTGTAACTTTTTATTTTTGTGTATTTGTTGTATGGTTCTTGATTTGAGGTTATCATGAGACTTGTAAATACTATCTTATAACCCATTATTTTAAACTGATGACAACATAGCAAAGATTGCATAAACAAAGAAGCACAAAAAGAAAACTAATAAACACTCTATACTTTAACTTTATACTCCCCCTTTTTAACTTTTTATTGTTTCTTTTTATGTCTTATTGTACTGTCTATGTTTTGAAAAGTGTTGCAGTTATAATTTTTGATTGGTTCATCATTTGACCTTTCTACTTAAGAGTAGTTTACATACCATGATTACAGTGTTATAATATTCTGTGCTTTTCCATGTCCCTACTATTTCCAGTGAGTCTTCTACCTTCAGATGATTTCTTCTTATGTATTAATGTATTTTGTTTCAGAATAAAGAACACCCTTTAGCATTTCGTGTAAGACAGGTCTCGTGTTTATGGAATCCCTCAGCTTTTATATGTTATTTGTTTCTTTCCTTTTGCTGCTTTTAGGATCCTTTCTTTATCCTTGACCTTTGGGAGTTTGGTTATTGAATGCCTTGAGGTTGTCTTCTTTGGGTTAAATCTGCATGGTGTTTTGTAACCTCTTTGTACTTGAATGTTGATTTATTTCTCTAGATTTGGAAAGTTTTCTGATATTACCTCTTTGAATACACTTTCTACCCCCATCTCTTTCTGTACTTTTCTTTAAGGAAAATAACACTTAGATTTACCCTTTTGAGGATATTTCCTAGATCTTATAGTTGTACTTCATTCTTTATTCTCTTTAATTTTGTTTCCTTTGTATTTTCCACTAGCCTGTCTTCAACTAAATCTTTTCTTCTCCTTGATTATTTCTGCTATTAAGATTCTCTGATGCATTCTTAAGTGTGCCAATTGCATTAATCAGCTCTAGAATTTCTGCTTTATTCTTTTAAATTATTTCAATCTCTTTGTTAAATTTACCTGACAGAATTCTGAATTCCTTCTCTGTGTTATCTTAAATTTCTTTGAGCCTCCTCAACACAGCTATTTTGAATTATCTGTCTGAAAGGTCACATGTCCCTGTTTCTCCAGGATTGGTCCCTGATGACTTATTTAGTTCATTTGGTAAGGCCATGTTTTCCTTGATTATCTTGATTGCTTATGGACATTCATCAGTGTCTGGGCATTAAAGATATATATTTATTGTAGTCTTTGCAATTTGAGCTTGTTTTACATCTGTCCTTTTTGAGAAGGTTTTCCATGTATTCTAAGGGAATTGGGTACTGTGCCCAATAATGCTGTGGTTTTTGTGGACTCATAGAGGTACTGCCTTGGTAGTCTTAGATAAGGTCCAAAAGAATTACCTGGATTACCAGGAAGAGTCTCATGTTGTCTTCCCTTACCTTCGCCCAAACAGTGCCTCTCTCTGTGTGCTGAGCCACCTGGAACTGTGGGCATTGTGATGCAACTACCATGGGGTCACCACTACTGGGTCTGTGCTGGGTCAGACCTGAAGCCAGCACAACACTGAGTCTCACCAAAGTCCTACCGTAACCACTACCTGGATACCACCTATGTTGACTCCAAGGTTCTAGGGCTCTATAATCAGCAGGTGGTGAAACCAGCCAGGTTTCTCTTCTTTCATTCAGGGCAGTGATATCTCTCAGGCCCCAGACTTGTGCAGAGATCCTGTCTGAGAGCCAGCAATTGTAGTACAAAACCTTACAAATTTAACTAATATTTCATTCTACTTTGTGTAAGCTGGCACTCACACCACAATACGAAGTCCTTCCTGCTTTTCCCTCCTCTTTCCACAGGCAGAGGAACCCCTCCCTGTGGCCACTACCACCACCAGCCCATAAGGCGTTCTGCCACACCACTACTTATGTTCACTTAAAGACCAAGGGCTCTTCTAAGAGATTGTAGTGAATGTTGCCAGAACTATGACACGCCTTTCAAGGTAGTGAGCTCCTCTCTGGCCTAAAGCAGGTCCAGAATTGCTGTCCAAAAGTCTAGACCAGGACTTGACACCAAGAGCCTGCTTGTTGCTCTACTCCACTGTGACCAAACTGGTATCTAGTGTGCAAAACAAAGTCTTCATTATTATTCCCCCTGCTTTTTTCAAACAGAAAGAGTCTTTCACTGTAGCCAGCACCGCTGGGAATATGGCAGGTCACACCTGAAGTCAGTACATCTCAGAGCCCAAGGCCCATGGAGTACTCCCTGACTATCACTCCTTACTATTCAGAGCCCAAGGGCTCTTTAGTCAGCAGTTTATAAATCCTATCAGAAGTGGTTTTTTCCCTTCAAGGCCATGGGTCTGCCTCTAGCCCAGGTTGATTCTAGATATGTCATCTGTGAGCCAGAATGGGGACCTCACTACTCTGCCGGTGCCCTCTACTTCTGTGGCTGAGCTGGCATCCAAGATGCATAAGAAAGGCCCCTTTTTTCTTTCCTTTTCTTAATCTGAAGAAAGGAGTCACTTTTATTGTTGCGAGCTGCACTGACTTGGCTTGGAAAAGGAGTGGCACAAGCACTCTCTTAGCTGCCCTAGCTGGTGTCTTCCTAGGTCACGTGCCACTTGAGTCCACTGGCTCTAAGCCCAGCCTAGCGCTTGGAGTTGTCCAGGAATTGTATTCCTTGTGTCCTACACTGCCTTTCAGGTTTACCTGGGACCCCAGAGCACTTTGGCCTACAGCAGTAAGGCTTGCTAAAAAAACTCAAGTTCTGACCACTGTAATGGGCGATTCCCTTCTTGTAAGGACTGGTCCAAATGCTCCCTCTGTGCAGGGTACTGGTTGATCCCAGCATGACTTTGCTCTCCACTGTGACAGGCAGCACCGAGTACAATGTAAAGTCCCTAGGTCACTGTGCTCTCCCTCCCCCAAGTGCACAAACTCTCTGTGTCACAGGACCACTGCCAGTGGATGGGGAGGGGTGGTGTCAGCTATTTCAGACTGTTTCTCCTATCCTTTTTAATGCCTCTTTCAGTGATATGAATTTAAACCATGTACTGTGATTACTCACTTGATTTTTGGTCCAGTGATGATGTTTCTCTGTGTGCAGATACTTGTTAAAATTTGGTGTTCCAGCGCAGGGGACAAATAGTGTAGGCTTTTATTCCACCTTCTTATACCACCCTCTTTAGATTTTTTTCTTAAGCTTTTATTTATTTTAAACAAGAAGTTCTTTAAAAAAATAACTCAATTAAAAAAAAAAACTATTCAACAACTACCCCCTTTCACTATAAAAAGGAGTTCGAGACCAGCTTGGTCAACATGGTGAAACCCCGTTTCAATACAAAAATTAGCCTGGCGTGGTGGTGGGTGCCTGTAATTCCAGCTACTTGGGAGGCTGAGGCCGGAGAATTGCTTGAACCCAGGCGGTGGAGGTTGCAGTGAGCCAAGATCGTGCCACTGCACTCCAGCCTGGGTGACAGAGTGAGACTCCTTCTCAAAAATAAAAATAAAAAGGCTATATATAATACTACACTTAAAATTATGTTGATAGGTGTATGTTTTCCAGTTCAAACAATTCTCTGTATTACTTTTTTCTCAGGGAGATGTCAGTTTATTTCAAATGTACTTTATATAATTATATTTTATAGCATATTCTCACACTACATATTTAAGATGAAATTTGTAAATGTGATTAAATTTCACTTAAAAATTATTGAATTGAATAAACTGAAATTCAACACCTATTCCACTGAATTTTACTCTACCTGATGAGTATTTTGGCATTGCAGAGAAAATCTCTTTTTTTGAAAGGAACTCATTAAATATCACTTTTGCATCAATATTAGGACCTTTTAATATGTAGTTGCACATTAGGAGATGATGAAGAGTTGCCTGCAGTTCTGCACACAAATACTAATCTTCATCCCAATGATTTCCAAACTTTTGACTTTACAATTATCTGTATTACCATACTTTATGTTATATTGTTGGAACACTGGGACCACTAGCACCTTTTAAAATGTCCATAAATTAGAATAAAATTATAATAAAACCACATTTTTATATTTTTTCCCAAGAGTTTATAATAGAAGACTAAGTTTTGTGGGATTCACAATATATTATCAATGTATGTTTCTTGAAAATCATTTAGAATGAGAAAATAATTTGAAGTCAACTAATATATATGTCTCCTTTTACATGAAAGATAAAACATTATTTTCTGTGAATGTAGGTAAAATAACTTCAACAAATGGAAATTTTTACCTTTAAAAAAGATTGTCATTTATTTTCTGGTAACTGTTGTACTCTGAAAAATCTAAAGCCTCTCTAGTGGCAGAAATCTACAAAATTCAATACAGGTTTAATATAAAGAATACATGATCTTTAAAAAAGTGCAATAAAGAAAATATTGTTTTAGTCTCTTGAGAGCCATCTTTCTAGATTTTTCAAAGTATAGACAAAATTGAAGTGTTTCAACCAATTCTGTTATTAACAATCCTGAACAGGATTATTAATCATAAGACATCAAAATTCTTTAGCCTTCAATTTTATCCTTTACAAAATATACTTCTTAAATCCAGATTATAACACCACTCACTTCCACTTTTCCATTTAGAATAAAAGGAACTAGTGAGATTATATGATTTCTACAAGTATTTAAAAAATATTCCAAATTACAAATCAGTGTAAAATCTCCTGAATATCAGGACACTGCATTTCTTAATCATACAATAATAATATTGTCCTTTAAAATTTTGGCTTTTAATAACTTTTTAAACTTTATTTTTAAACATTATAACTTCCTCTAGACATGTACTTCTCCAATCGTGATTGAAAGCAAATATTACATAAAATTGACTTGCAAAATATCACAGTAACATAGTTCTTAATACAGCACTATATTTTATTCATATCAACATCTTTTGACACAATTTTTCTAAAAGAAGACGTTAAGAACTTGTTAAGAATACACATGAAAAGAGATTTTGTTTTTAATCCTACCTTTCCTATAAACCCTAGTAATCAGAAAGTAGAAAGAAATATCTAGCTAACTCATTTTTTAAAAACACTCTAAATAGACTAGAAGCTATGATATGAATTCATGAAATTGGTATCAGGGTCATTATTTATAAATAAAGTTTTGGCCGGGCATGGTGGCTCACCCCTGTAACTAGCTGGGCATGATGGCGGGCACCTGTAATCCCAGCTGAGGGAGGCTGAGGCAGAAGAATGGCTTGAATCCGGGAGGTGGAGGTTGCAGTGAGCCGAGATCGTGCCACTGCACTCCAGCCTGGGTGACAGAGCGAGACTCTGCCGAAAAAAAAAAAAGTTTTATCATAATACATAGTCTAGAATAACAGAAGGAAATACTATACTCAAACAATCTAAAGGAAGTCATCAAAAGCCAATCTTATTTTTCAAACATGTTAAAGATAAATAAGAATATAGACACGCTAATATAACAATTTAAAAAATAACCACAAAACTCTGTAAGTAGGATGGATGATAGACAATGGAAGGAAGAAAAGAAGGGAGGTAATTTTAAAAACCATATACTTCAGACATTTTAATTCCCTTGTTAGATAAAACTAGTATGCTCGGGGGTTAATGTGTGGCAGTTGTCAGACACCTTTCACACCATGGACTAATTTATAGATAATTGGAATAAAACCCTGAGTTTCAAGCAGGTATCACTTATTTTTATTGAATTTCCCTTCTTGAGCATGATTCACACATACTTCACATTTGCCCATATACTGGCTAAGTAGGACAGCAAAATGCCTTAACGAAATGTACCATTTTAAGAAGCTAGCTTTTTTTCTTAGATGCATAAGTTATGCTTGGAGAAAATATAATTATATTTTCCTGCATAATAAATAGGTTTTATGAAAAACACAGCCTTTGGAGAATACAAGAGAAATTATTCACTATGTTTAACAAAAGATGTAGCAGAACATTTTGCCCTTGATTTTCTTATTCAAATAGTGGGACTAGAAAAACTTTTGAAGACGTGTTAGATGTAGTTAGCCATTGAGGTACACTGAAAAGTCAGCACGAGTGCATGAGTTGGATTTTGTTATGATTATTTTGCTTTTGTTTTATTATTTTTTTTCTTACTCCCTTTGGTCTTGTCTTATGTGAACTCCCTTTGGTCTTGTCTTAGGTGCCATTGAAGACACCGTAAATTCAACCCCATTATATGGTTTCATTTTAACTCAGAAGGTTAGATATGTTCAGCACAAATAAAATCAGATATTCTCAGGCTCACCCTAATTAAAGGTCCTAATCTAATCAAAGCTTTCATGAAGAAATGTCTTTTATGGAGGAAATTTACTGGTGTGTATTAATAATGGAAGCACTTTTTTAAAGCAAGGAAAACTGGTATGAATACAATTTTTATATTAAATTTAGATGTCATGTTTTTATTGATGGTACAGACGACTACAATTGATATATCCAGATTCAAGCCCCTACAAAACACAGTCAGAATATACTGGTACCTGTCTCTTCATACTGCCTTCACCCAGATTCTATGATTCCTTTAAGTGAACAGAAAGTCTATTCAGTAGGGTAGAATTTTAACAGCATAACTGGAGAGCTCCTGCTGTCCAAATGCATGCTTCCATGTGGAGGCCTGGAATAAAAAGGCCATTATAGCTTTTGGTACACTCTGTGGGAGAGAGTAGAGAGAGAAGTTGTAATGATTAGCAAGTAAGTTTTGTGATTGGCATAAAAACTAGGGAGGCATAAAAGAATTTACTTTTGTGCATATTGTTCCATTTTTACCAGAGTGACTTATAATTTAGAGGCTTATTTATTCCAAAGACCAGTAAGAACTTACTACATAAGAGACATGTAGTCTATCAAATAAGGAGAGTGGTTAAAGTCTCGTTTTTAGTATCATTGACTTCGAAGGTTAAATTCCTTTTTTTTCTTTTTTTTTTTTTTTGAGGCGGAGTCTCGCTCTGTCACCCAGGCTGGAGTGCAATGGAGCCGTCTGGGCTCAGTGTAAGCTCCGCTTCCCGGGTTCATGTGATTCTCGTGCCTCAGGCTCCTGAGCAGCTGGGATTACAGTTGCCCGCCATCATGCCGGGCTAATTTTTGTATTTCTGTAGAGACAGGGTTTCACCATGTTGGTCAGACTGGTCTTGAACTCCTGACCTCAGGTGATCCTCCCCCTTCAGCCTATCAAAGTACTGGGGTTACAGGTTTGAGCCACCACACCCAGCCTCAAGGGTTAAATTCTTGAATTGATAATTAATTCCCTGATATGCTTACAATTCTGTTTTTATGAGTACACATTTAAATAAAGCTTTTGCATCAGTCTGATCGAAAAATTAGTAGAATTAGTTTAAAGGTGTGATTACATCCAACATTTCAAGTTAAAAATATAAAATTGTGATCACACTTAATCCCTTTGGTTTACAAATAGCATTTTCTCTGATATCATTTTCTGCTAAATTGTATGATATGGTGTAGGGGAAGTATTATCACTAGCCTTCAGGCACTGTCAGTGTGTGTCTACGCCTTTTATTTTAAAAATGTGAACCCAATGATAAACTTCGAATATTTGATTTAATGTACTATGTGGTGAGCTGATTTTTACACAACAGAGAACCTTTGTCTACTCTTAGAAATAGAGCAAAGAAAAATATTTGAATTTTATATTTGAAATAATCTTAAGGATCATAGAATCCAAGTTCTTTATTGTGTAATGGGAAAACTAAGTTTTAAAGCAGATGTGACTTACCCACAATCACACATTTATTCAGTTGTGGAACAAAGAATATAATCTGAAAGAAAAATTATTGGACAAATAATATCCATCTATCAGATTCTAGCCAGAATGGGGTTAACATCAGAAAACTCTATACTATCAGAGAAGACTGCATTGATTTAAAGTACAAATAATGTTATCTTCCATCAACATACATGAAAGACGAGTCTTAGAAAATTCTTATCTCTCTGTATATATAACACTTTTTTCAATAAAAATGTAAATCATATTACTTGTGTTTTATCAATTCTCATTTTGAGAATGGATAGCAAAAAAATTGAAAATAATAGTTCTCATATGTTAATGCAAGGAAAAAAAATAAGGTCATGCCAAATTCCCCATTTTCTTCTACAAATTACAGATGTTATTTCAGTCTAAATTAAGTTGCTATGTAGTAATAATCCATTTAGGTGGAGAAAAATATCCAAGTTTACATTCATATTAGGAACTATGTAAAACATGTAGGTGTCTGATGAAATTTTGTGTTTCCTTGCAGTATTTCAAACCATACAATTATTTCATCACTGCCCTCCATTTACGCAAGTATATTCCCTTTAACTTAAAAAATAGTATATCTGAAAGTGAGCTTTAGATACTGTCCTTCATATTGGGTCTATGTCTGCAGGGGCAAAGAGACCACATATCATCTAGTCAGCACTCAATTATTATATTTCAAATGCTTGTTGCCTGAAATACCCATCTTTTGTTCTCCTCACTGTGTCTTTGCAACGCGCCTTAGCACAGTATCTTATTGACCTCCTTGGAGCACTAAGATCATTCACTGCATGGGAAGAAATGATTTTCCTCCTCAGCATGGACATATTTACTGCACCTTTAGGGAAGCCCAGCAAAAAAGAAGCAGCTTCCAGATAGTTTTGTTAGAAAATACTATTACAGAAATTCTGCATAAATTCCGTTTTAGGAATTGTTAACTCTTTCTGTGAATTTAAGTAGTATTAAGGTGATTTGGCAAGAACTGTGAAAATTAATGATTGATTTCTCTATTGGCTCATAACTGTCAAGATTCTTGGATAAACTATTTAGAACACGACATAAAAGATAAGAGATTAGTAGTAAAAGGAAACGGTTATAAAATAAAACATGTTGAAATAATAGCAGATATTTTTTAAATGTTGCTTACTTAAGGTAATATTTGTTATGGAAAGATGCTATCGAAATGCAGATTCTACTTCTCACCTGGAGTTTCTAAGGGAAGATTAAATTGTAATCTTAGAAAAAAAATGTGAATGAATGTCTCTCTCTTCCTTCCTCCCTTTCTCCCTGTCTCCCTCTCTCTCTCCATCCCTCGCTCTCCCTTCTTCTTCTTTTCTTACCTCCTTAACATTTTGAATGTTTCTAGTAACTTTTCTTATACCATTATGAGGATTTATATTTAGTGTTTATTTTTCCTGTCGAGGCCTTTAGAAGGTAAACATTTACCTTGAGAAAAAAATGATAGTTGTACATTTTTTTCTAATGGGCTTTTTCTTTTCTTTTTTTTTTATTTTTTTATTTTTTGAGATTGAGTCTTGCTCTGTTGCCCAGGCTGGAGTGCAGTGGCTGGATCTCAGCTCACTGCAAACTTGGCTTCCCAGGTTTAGGCGATTCTTCTGCTTCAGCTTCCTCAGCTTCTGGGACTACTGGTGGGCGCCATCATGGCTATATATATATATATATATAAGAATTTTAACATCTATTAAAATGTCATTTTGGCAATACAGAAATTACATTAACATGTTTATTCTATTTTTGTAAAGTGTCAATAGCTTCAATATATGTAAAAGGTGATTAAAACCAAAAGCCTTTTTAAAAAGGAGATGATCTGGTTTCTTCCTTCCTCACAATCCAAGTTTAAATTGTGCATTGTCATCTATAAAATACTCTTAAAGGAAAGAACTCATTCCTTTCCTGCAATTCTATTTTTTTTAATTCTTTCCTTTTCTAAGTTTTGTTTGTTTGTTTGTTTTGAGACATCCTTTCAGTTGTCCAGGCTGGAGTGCAGTGACACAATCATGGCTCACTGCTCGCTTGACCTCCCCAGGCTTACGTGATCCTCGCACCTCAGCCTCCTGAGTAGCTGGGACTTCCGGCAGGCACCACCACTCCTGGCTAATTTTTGTAGTTTTTGTAGAGACAGGGTTTCACTATGTTGCTCAGGCTGATCTCAGACTCCTGGGCTCAAGCAATCCACTAGCTTCAGCTTCCCAAAGTGCTGGGATTGCAGGCATGAGCCATCGCACACAGCCCCTAAAATTCTCTTATCTAGCCTTCTGGCATCTTATCATCAGCGTGTGGAATGATAGTTGCTGATGTTGTCAAACCTATGATAACATGATGAAGTTCCCAAAGTTAATTTCGGTTAACACTAGCACCTTCTGAAATGTGAGCCAATTTCAATACTGCAATGCCAAGCTTTCCTTTCAGCCATTTTGCCCTTATCTCCCACAATGCTATAGAAAGTAGTGATCTTAAAAGATGACAGAGCCAACACCAAATGACATAAATTCTACTTAAAATGTTTGCTCATAGGATCAAAGAAGAAAAAGGTACACTTGTTTTTCAGTGACATGTTCGATCCATCATTAGAGAATATTGCAAGCATTACTAGAGTTATTAAAATTATTCATTTTAAATTATTAAAATTATGTCAGCTGAAACAGTCAAAACATAAATTAAAGGCTCAGAAGGTCTTTAAAAATATCTAATCAGTTTTGTTAATGTGTGAAAAAAACAGTGCAATTGTCATTTATTGAAATCAGGCTTAAAGTGTACCATTCAACAGTTTAAAGCCTACACCAGGTACATCTGATCATTGTAGGACTAGATGCTATATAAAAAATGATTCACTATATATTCTCACAAGGCACATTATGCAACTCCAAAATACTCTCTTTCAGTACTTTATGAGGGACACAAATGTGTAATTGTCAAATATGACAATAATGTCTAATTAAGAAAGTACATATACATATATAATATGTATATGTATGCACATACATTTGACTTTGCTTTTCTAACTTAAAATTTAACTTAATGCCTTACATTGCCTTATTTTGTAGCACTCATTTATAATTTCGTCTTGAACATGAAATGGACTTTCACTTCATTTCATTTGCTGCTTACTTAGAAAGTATCATGATTTCAGTTCAATGTGAAAATGCTACCTGTATTGTTCAACCTGAAATTAAGTGTCTCTGTTCAGTGCTTACATTTACTTTCAACACAGTTTCTTTATGTGTGTAAATGAGTTCTGAAACAATAGAAAAAATGAGAAGTTGCATGAAAATGATGAACATTTTCAAATTCGTGATCTAAATTCAGATTCACCGAGTTCCTCTGTAAAATACTTGTTAAGAAAACATGTATTTCTCACCATGAGTAGTGCCTTTTTTCCTGTGGTTTATCTATTTAGAACAAAACTTTAATGATTTATTTAATCTCTCCCTAAGATCCTTTTCACGATGGCGAAAGAGAGCAAAAAACATCTATGGTTCAGAATAAATAAAACAAAGTCATCTCACTGAAATATACATAAAAAGAAACTCAAGTATATTATTAAAAAGCAGCATATGTATTTTTATTTAATATATTTTAATAGACATAATAATTGAACATATTTATGGGGTACATAGTGATGTTTTGATACATACAATGCATAGTGATCAAATCAGGGTAATTAGCATATCAGTCACTTAAAGCATTTATGATTTCTTGTAGTGGGAATATTCGAAATCCTCTCGTCTAGCTTTTTGAAAACATATCATAAATTATTGTAAACTAGAGTAATCCTACAGTGCTATAGAATGCTAGAACTTAATCTTCCTATCTAGTTGTAATTTTGTATCCTTTAATGAATGTCTCCCTCTCTCCTCTTCTCCCTACCCTTTGTAGCTTCTAGTAACCGCAATTCTACTCTCTACTTACGTGGGATCAAATTTTTAGTTTCCAAATATAAGTGGAAACATGCGGTATTAATCCTTTGTGCCTGGTTTATTTCACTTAGTATAATATGCTTCAGGCTCACCCATATCTGTGTATTCATTTAAAAAGCATATTAAATGTGCTATGAAATAAAGGGTTTGCATTTTTCCTATTGTAATATCATAAATATCTTCCTTGGATATCTAGGTACTCTCTCACTTATATAGTTAAAAAATAAACCCATGATTATTTTAGTATAAATTTCTGGAATAGTTTTCTTTCTGAATTTTTTAAATTTTAATTTATTTTTGTATATAGTAAGTATATATATTTATGTGATACCTTGGATATTTTGAATCAGGCATGCAATATGTAATAATCAAATCATGGAGAATGGGGTACCCATCTCCTCAAGTATTTATCCTTTATGTTACAAACCATCCAATTATATTCATTTAGTTATTTTTAAATGTATAATTAAATTATTATCGACTATAGTCATCCTGTTGTGCTATCAAATACTTGGTCTTATTAATTCTTTCTAACTATTTTTGCACTCATTAACCATCCCCATCTAAATCCCACCACACACTACCCTTCCCCACCCTGGGTAATCATCCTTTTACTTTCTATTTCCATGAGTTCAGTTGTTTTGATTTTTAGATCCCACAAATAAGTTAGAACATATGATGTTTATCTTTCTGTTCCTGGCTTATTTCACTTAACATAATGATCTCCAGTTCCATTCATATTGTTGCATATGACTGGATCTCATTCTTTTTTATGGCTAAATAGTACTCCATTGTATATATGTACCACATTTCTTTCTCTGTTCATCTGTTGATGGAAACTTAGGTTGCTTACAAATCTTAGCTACTGTGAACAGTGCTGCACAAACATAGGAGTGCAAATGTCTCTTTGATATACTGATTTCCTTTCTTTTTGGTATATGCCAAGCAGGGGAATTGCTGGATCATATGGTAGCTCAATTTTTGTTTTTTTGAAAAAACTCCAAACTGTTCTCTAGAGTGGTTGTACTAATTTATATTTCCACCATCAGTGTACTAGGGTTCCCTTTACTCTACATCTGTGCTAGCATTTGTTATTGCCTGTGTTTTGGATAAAAGCCAATTTAACTGGGTTGAGAGGATATCTCATTGTAGTTTTGATTTGTATTTCTTTTTCATATACTTGTTTGACATCTGTATTTCTTCTTTTGAGAAAGGTCTATTTAAATCTTTTGCCCATTTTTTTTTTGCTCAGATTATTAATTTCCTATAGACTTGTTTGAACTCCTTATATATTCTGTTTATTAATTTTTGTCAGATGGGTAGGTTGCAAATATTTTCTCCCCTTCTGTGGGTTGTCTCTTCACTTTGTTGATAGCTTCCTCTGCTGTGCAGAAGCTTTTTAACTTAATGTGATCTCGTTTGTTTATTTTTGCTTTGGTTGTCTGTGCTTGTACTCATGAAATTTTTGCCCAGACCAATGTCCTAGAGAGTTTCTCCAATGTTTTCTTGTAGTAGGTTCATAGTTTGAAGTCTTAGATTTAAATATTTAATCCATTTTGATTTTATTTTTGTATAGGATGAGAGGAGGGTCTAGTTTTATTCTCCATACAAATATCCAATTTTCCCAGCCTCATTTATTGAATAAACTTTCTTTTCCCAAGTGTATGTTCTTGGCATTTTTGTCAAAAATGAATTCATTATAAGTGTGTGGATTTAATTCTGGGTTCTCTATTCTGTTCCATTGGTCTATGTGTCTGTTTTAATGCCACCAGGCTGTGTTGGTTACTATAGCAGTGTAGTATAATTTGAAGTCAGGTAAGGTGATTCCTCTAGTTTTTTTTTTTTTCCCTCAGGATAGCTTTGATAATTTGGGAATTTTTGTGATTCCATATAAGATTCAGGGTGATTTTTCTAGTTCAATGAGTAATGCCACCAGTATTTTGATAAAGATTGCATTGAGTCTGTAGATTGCTTTGAGTATTATGGATGTTTTAACAATATTAATTTTACCATTTCATGAACATGGAATATCTTTCAATTTTTTGGTGTCCTCCTCAATTTTTTTCATCAGTGTTTTATAGCTTTCATTACAGAGATCTCTCACTTTTGGTTAATTCCTAGGTATTTACTTTTATTTGTTACTATTGTAAATGCGATAACTTTTTAAAATTTCTCTTACAGATTGTTCCTTGTTGGCATATAAAAATACTACTGCATGTTAATTTTTTATCCTGCAACTTTACTGACCTTGTTCATGAGTTCTAACAGTTTCGTTCGTGCAGTCTTAGGTTTTTCCAAATATAAGATCATATCAGCTATAAACAAGGATAATTTGATTTCTTTCACTCCAGTTTTGATGCCCTTTGTATCTTCTCCTGTATGATTGTTCTAGCTAGTTCTTGCTACTATGTTGAATTACAGCAGTGAAAGTGGGCATCCTTTCAAGTTTCAGGTGTTAGAGAATAGGATTTCCATTTTTCCCCATTCAGTATGATACTTGCTGAGGTTCTGTCATACATGGCTTTTATTGCATTGATGTATGTTCCTTCTATACCCATTTCTTTGAGGGTTTTTAATCATAAAGGAATGCTAAATTTTTTCATATACTTTCAGCATCAGTTGAAAACATCATATGGATTTTATCCTACCTTCTGTTTATATGATTTATCACATTGATTGATTTGTGTGTGTTGAACCACTCTTGCATCCCAGGGGTAAATCTCACTTGGTTATAATGAATAATCTTTCTATTGTGTTTTTGAATTTGGTTTGCTAGTATTTTCTTGGAAATTTTTGCATCAATACTCATCACGGATATTGTCCTGCAATTTTCGTGTGTGTGTGTGTGTGTGTTTCTTGATGTGCCTTTGTCTGCTTTTGGTATCAGGATAATATTGGCCTCATAGAATGAATTTGAAAGTATTCCATCTACCTCTATTTTTAAGAATTGTTTGAGTAGCATCCTTATTAGCTTTTCTTTACATGTTTGGTAGAATTCAGCGTTGAAGTCGTCGGGTCTCGGGCTTTTTTAACTGGGATTTTTTTTTTTTATTAAGACTTTGGTCTCATTACTTGTTATTTGTCTGTTCAGGTTTCAGAGTACTTCCTAATTCAATTTTATTGGGTTGTGCATGTCTTGGAATTTGTCTATTTCTTCTAGATTTTCCAATTTATAGGCATATAGTTGCTCATAGTAGCCACTAATGACCCTTTGAATTTCTTGCAGCATCAGTTGTAGCGTCTTCTTTAGCATTTCTAGTTTTACATATTTGAATCTTCTCCTTTTTTATTAGTCAGTCTAGCTAAAAGTTTGTCAATTTGTTTAACTTTCCCAAAAACCAACTTTTTTCACTCATCTTTTGTATTGTTTTCATTTTAATTTTATTTATTTCTATTCTAATCTTTTTTTTCTTATACTAATTTTGGTTTGGAATGCTTTTGATTTCCTAGTTCTTTAAGATGCATCATTAGATTGTTTATTTGAAGTTTTTCTCCTCTTTTTTGATGTAGGCAAATATAGCTATAAACTTTCTTCTTAACACTGCTTTTGCTGTATCCCATAGGTTTTGGTGTTATATTTCCATTATCATTCAATAGGTGGAGTTTTCTATTCCACCATCTTGCTCCCCCTCCTTTCTTAATTTCTGGAGTTCTAGATAAACTTTCAAAACCACCCACTGTGTTACTCAGAATAGAGAATATGAATGTGTTGCAGAAGTGACAAAAATTCAGGAGTGAAAGCTTGGTAAATTCAGTATCTCATTCTCCATTATGGGAAAATATTCTTTATTTACACAGAGTCAGTTTTACTCAAATTGGAAGAACACTAGATCTTCACTGTTAATCAACCAAGAAAAAATTTTTTAATCATAGAACAGTCGGTTTTAGAGGTAGAATATGCCTTGATTCTTCTCAACATTTTTCACCAACGTATCTCTATCTGCAAAGAAGAGTTAACTGGCCACTCTGATGACCTGTAAGTTCCTCAAAACATACTATTTATTGTAAGTATTGTGTTTTAGTTGTGGAAAACAAAGATATTCTACATTCTACTCTTCAATGTCTTGTATACAGCAAGAAGAGGAAATGCCACCTTTCTATGCCATATTTTATGCATGCCACTTTCTTTAAATCAGTTAAAAGACTTGCATTATTTACAGCTAAACACTAAAATTTAGCCTGATATTCCAGGCCCTAAAGAATTTTTTAAAAATTACTATTATTATTTTTAAAAATTTTATGGGTACAGGGTAGGGGTATTTATTTATGGGGAAAATGGCATAACCTAGTTAAAGCCTTAAACCCCTTAGAATCAGAGGGACTTTATTAATTACATAGTTCAAACATATATATCTAACTATAACCCCTTCGATAATCCTCCATTTTTATAAACTATTCTTCAGCCTATAGCACTTAGCAACTCTTAATTTTTAAATTGATATATTATTAATTTTTGAATTGAATATCACCTCTTTGCTCTGAATTTTTTATTAACTCTTTAATGGCTACAAAAAATAATTGAAATAAGTTTGTTCTTATCATCTGTTTTCTGTTTTCTATAACTTACACCTATTTTTGTCATTTTCTATATGGCATATTCTTCTCCTAATGTGAACTGTGAACTAAGAAGGATCCTGCAAAGGAGCCTCACTTTCTTCTTGGCATGCCTTTATATAAGCTAGCTCTTCCCACTGTCAACTTCCCACTTCCCACCAAACTTTCCATACTGTCTAAGGTTATTCTTTGTTTCCTTAGCCCTCCAAAGCCTCTCAGTTCTCATT
This sequence comes from Homo sapiens, assembly GCF_000001405.40. Taxonomy (NCBI): domain Eukaryota; kingdom Metazoa; phylum Chordata; class Mammalia; order Primates; family Hominidae; genus Homo; species Homo sapiens. The sequence continues at coordinate 5,674,162 of NC_000024.10, forward strand.
TTAGCACTTTCTAGTGTAATTAACTTGTTTACAAACGCGTATTCTCTATTATAATATCAGAGCCTGAGTAGCAGGGTTTCGCGATGTGTATTTTTGTTTCTGCAATGCTTAACCCAACACCTGGTGCAACATAGGAACCTCATAACTTTTAAAATGCATGCTGAATAATAGTATCAGAAAGAATCTTAGAGATCATCCAGTTCTACATCTTCACTATTAAAGAAAATAAAATTAAGGCCCACACAGCAGAAGTGGTTTGCTAAGTTTATAAGGTTTAAACTTTGTTTGAAATGGAAGGGAATTTTTAATTCAAGTGCATAGTCTAAAACACAGAAGAAATATTTGATTTGACCTTCAGTACTTCTTTTAAATATGTACCTAGGATCTATCATGATGATATTTTAACATTCACATAAAAAATTAGGTTTATGATAGGGAGGTTATTTTTCAACTTCTCAAGGGACCTGAAATTTTGACAGAAAAATGTCTAATATTTTCTGGAATATAATAATACTGTAATCCTGATATAACCAAAGGAAATACAAATCATACAGATTAGAGACTTCAATGGAATATTTTAAAGTTTATTGTAGGCAGTGCTTGCAGTTTGGAGACGTCTGAGGTCTGAGATCTTAAACTAACACATTCATGACTTCAGATAACTGGTGCTATGGCTATTGTATTTCCAAAGCCATAGTTTCCCTTATGAAACAGCTGCTTGGTATTTGCATAGCACTTGCATTACCATCCCTTCTATTCAATTTTAGAAAGGTTCTGTCCTTCTCTGATTAAAAGAATTATTGATCAAAAGTCTTATTTCATAAGCTATTATGACAGAGGCTCCTGGAAGGTCCTTTTGGCTAAACACATGTATTAGCTCATTCTCACACTGCTATGAAGAAATACCCAAAACTGGGTAATTTGTAAAGGTAAGAGGTATGATTGACTCACAATTTCACATTGCTGTGGAGGCCTCAGGAAACTTACAATTATGGCAGAAGCCAAAGCAAGCACCATCTTTGCAGGGTGACAGAAAGGAGTGAGTGCTGAGCAAAATGTAAAAAGCCACTTATAAAACTATCAGATCTTGTGAGAACTCACTATCATGAGAACAGCATGGGGGTAACCACCAACATGAGCCAATTACCTCCCACTGGGTCCCTCCCATGACATGTAGGGATCATGAGAAAAATAATTCAAGATAAGATTTGGGTGGAGACACAGCCAAACCACACAATTCCACCCCTGTCCCCACCCAAATCTTATATACTCACACTTCAAAACACAATAATACCTTTCCAACAGTCCCCCAGAGTTTTAGCTCATTCCAGCATTAACCCAAAAGTCCAAGTCCAAAGTCTCATCCAAGACAAGGCAAGTCACTTCTGCCTGTGAGCCTGTAAAATCAAAAGCAAGTTAGTTATTTCCTGGAAACAATGAAAGTATGGAAATTGGGTAATTCTATCTGTTCCAAGTGAGATAAATTGGCAAAAACCAAGAGGCTACAGAACCTATGCAAGTACAAAACCCAACAGAGAAGTCAATAAATCTTAACACTCCAAAGCGATTTTCTTTAACTCCATGTCTCACATCCAGGTCACACTGATGCAAGAGGTGGACTCTCATGATCTTAGGCTGGTCCACGCCTGTGGCTTTGTAGGGTACAGCCCTGCTCTGGGCTGCTTTCACAGGCTGGAATTTAGTGTCTGCAGCTTTTCCAGGTGCACATTGCAATCTGTTGGTGGACCTACCATTCTGGGGTCTGTGACCCTCTTCTCACAGCTCCACTAGGCAGTGCCCCAAAGGGGACTTTGTGTGAGGGCTCCAATTTCACATTTCCCTTCTGCACTGCCCTAGAAGAGGTTCTCCATGAGGGCTCCACCCATGCAGCAAACTTCTGCCTGGCTATCCAGGTGTTTCCATACATCCTCTGAAATCTAGTTGAAGGTTCCCAAAACTCAATTTTTCACTCTGTGCACCAGAAAGCCCAACACCATGTATAATTCACCAAGGCTTGGGGCTTGCACCCTCTGAAGCAACTTCCTTAGCTGTATGTTGACCTCTTCTAGCCATGGCTGAGACTGAAGCAGCTGGGATGCAAGGCACCATGCCCTGAGGCTGCACAGAGAAGGGCCCTGGGCCCAGCCCATGAAACCATTTTTCCTTCTAGGCCTCCAGGTCTTTGATGGAAAGAATTGCTGTGAAGGTCTCTGACATGCTCTGCAGACATTTCACCCACTGCCTTGGGAATTAGCATTCAGCTCCTTGTTAATTAGGCAAATTTCTGCAGAAGGCTTGAATTTCTCCCCCAGAAAATGAAATGGATTTCTCCTTTCTATTGCACCATGAAGCTGAAAATTTTCCAAACGTTTATGCTCTGCTTCCTCTTAATGCTTTGCCACTTAGAAATTTCTTCTGCCAGATACCCTAAATCATCTCTCTCAAGTTCAAAGTTCCACAGATCTCTAGAGCAGGGGCAAAATCCCACCAGTCTCTTCACTAAAGCACAGCAAGAATCATATTTATTCCAATACCCAAGAAATTTTTTTTCTCCATTTGAAACCACCTCAGCTTGGACTGCGTTGTCTATATCACTATCAGCACTTTGGTCAAAGCCATTCAACAAGTCTCTGGGAAGTTCTAAACTTTCCCACATTTTCCTGTCTACTTCTGAGCCCTCCAAGCCTCTATGAAGGTCCAAACTTTCCCATATTTTTCTATCTTCTTTAGAGCCCTCCAAGCTGTTTCAATCTCTGCCTGTTACCCAGTTCCAAAGTTGCTTCCACATTTTCTAATGTCTTTATAGCAGTGCACCAGTACCTTGGTACCAATTTACTGTATTAGTTTATTCTCACAGTGACATGAAAAAAAAACCTAGGGTGAATAATTTATAAAGGGAAGAGGTTTAATTGACTCACAGTTCTGCATTGCTGGGGAGACCTCAGGAAACTTACAATTATGGCAAAAGGCAAAGCAGGCACTTTCTTCACAGGGTGGCTGGATGGAGTGAGTGCTGAGCAAAGGGGGAAAAGCCCTTTATAATACCATCTGATCTTGTGAGAACTCACTAACATGAGAACAGCATGGGGATAACCACCCTTATGATTCAATTATCTCCCACTTGTTCTCTCCCACAGCATATGGAGATTATGGAAACTACAATTCAAAATGAGATTTGAGTGGAGACACAGCCAAACCATATCAACACATAATAAGTTTCACAGGTGACTCAGTATTTGAATATGCAGCATTCAAAACATCACAATTTAATCTTGACATTGTTCTTCCATCATAACGCAGGTTGAGTTGTTTTTTTCCCTGCCCATTTTTCTATGTGCCCAGACATATTGTAGAAAATAAAGTTGCTGAATGACTAAGTGAATGAGTTGTCTTTTAAAAAGGCACATGCTCATAGAAGAGTTACATTGTTACTAATAGCATAATATAAAAGAATATATCAAATAATGTTTAAACTCTCTGAAAATATGGAGTTCATTAGGAAGGAACTGGTTAAAGAGTAAATTAGATTAAGACTTATGTGCTTGAAGTTCTATATGAAAACAAGAAAAAAAATAAGGTCATCCACTGCTACACTCAACTTATGAGTGATTTGTCATGCTTTCCAGGACTAAGGAGATAAGATCAATTCTTTGTAAAGTATCATAAATCCTACTAAAAACTCTTGGAAAAATATTGGTGTAAACTCCTCTAAGTAGAAAAGATAAGAATAAATTTGAGATGATTAACTTTCTATCAAAACATTTTTCTTCCATTCTATAGACTAGTGTTTTGTTTATATTTGTCTTAGTAATTAAATAATTATAGATAGTTTCAGAATAACTTGCTGGTATCTTAACTTAATTGATCTTGATTAAGTAATCATGTTTATTTTAAGATATTAATTGCTATGTCAAGTAACAGTCAAACATAATTATCTTTGCTAGGTTTTAAAATTTGTTTCTAACATTTAATATTTGAGAAATTATGAGTCATATAATTAAATTTTGTTTAAAATTTAAGCTATGGGAACACTTTTTACATTTAATAATTATAATTTAAAATCCTTGCCAAAATTTCCATTGGGCATCTAGTTGATTTTACTTGTCATTGATTCAAAATAACAAGCAGCCACTTAGTAGATGTGTGGGAGGACATTTGGGTATTTTGTAATTAACTCAAAGGCTTTTGTATGAAAAAAGTGATGTCAAAAAAATCTGAAAATTATGTTCATGTGTATTGAGATGAGTGCATTGGGAAATTTATGAAAACAGAATCATTTGCAGGATTAAGAAAAAAGAATAAATAAAATGCTACATAATATGATCTACATTTCTGAATGTTTATGACTAATCAAATATTGATGCTTGTTAAAAAGCCTTTAAAAAAATACAAATAGAGCAAAGGAAGAGCAAGATTGTGAAATATAAGCCTACGCTGTTTATCCCCCAAAAGGAATACCAAATTTTAACAAGTATCTTTACACACACACACACACACACCACTGTCATAAGAACCAAAATTTAAGTGAGCAATCATAGTACATGGTTTTAATATCATATCATTAAAAGAGGCACTGAGGAGGGGAGAAGAGACAGTCTTGAATTACTGATGCCACCTCTCCTTCATCTAATAGCAGAGGTCTTGTGGTGCAGAAAGAGAAACTGTGCACTTTAGGGAGGAATATTGCAGTGACTGGGGACTTTACATTGAACTTAGTCCTGCCCTGTCATAGTGGAGAATGAAGCTGTGCTGGGCTTAGCCATCCCTTGCACATTGAGGGAGCATTTGGACCAGACCTAGCCAGAGGGGTGTTCTGGTGGTCAGAACTTGAGTTTCTCAGCAAGCCTTGCCATCACAAACCGAATTGCTCGGGGTTTCTAGGTAAACATGAAAGGCAATGTGAGACACGAGGAATGCAATTGCTAGGCAACTCCTAGTGCTAGGCTGGGCTTAGAGTCAGTGAATTAGAGTGGCATGTGACCTAGGCAGACACCAGCTGGGGCAGCTAAGGGAGTCCTTGTGCCACCCCTCTCCCAAGCCCAGACAGTGCAGCTCGCAACAATAAAGTGACTCCTTCCTTCTTCTTGAGGCAAGGAAAGCAAAGAGTAAAAGGGACTTTTATTATGCATTTTGGATACCAGCTCAGCCACAGTAGGATAGGGCAATGGGCAGAATTGTGAGTCCCCCTTTCTAGGCTCTATCTCACAGATGACTTATCTAGATACAACCAGGGCTGGAAGCAAACCCATGGCCTTGAAGGGAAGGAACCAGTTCTGGCAGTTAGTCATAAACTGCTGACTAAAGAAACCTTGGGCTCTGAATAACCAGCAGTGACTCATGTAGTGTTCCATGGGTGGTGGGTTCTGAGATACGCTGGCTTCGGGTGTGACCCAGCACATTTCCAGCTGTGCTGGCTACATTGAAAGACTCCAACTGTTTGAGAAAAGCAAAAGGAAAAGTTAAAGAAACATTGTTTTCTACCAGCTCATCCACAGCAGTTGGAGCAACAAGCAGGCCCTTGCTTTCCTTGTGTACAGACCTAGGTTCTTGGACATCATTTATGGACCTGCCCTAGGCCAAAGGGAAGACCACTGCCCTGAAGACTGAGTGCTAGACCTGACAGCAGTCACCACAAGCTGACTTGGTCTTTAAGTGAACATCAGTGGTGATCTGGCTGAACACCCATGAACTGGCAGTGGTTATGGCCACAGGGAGAAACTCCTCTGCCTTTGTAAAGGGGATGGAAGATGTAGAAGGACTTTGTTTTCTTGTGTGAGTGCCAGCTTAGCCACAATGGAAGAGAACATCAGGTAAACTGGTGAAACTTTTGATGCCAAGTCCTGGCTCCTAGACATCACTGGACATCTCCAAGTCCTGGGGAAATCCATCACCCTTAAGAAAAGCATCTTGGGCAAGACCCAGTGCTGTGCTGGCTTCAGATCTGGTGCAGCACAGTCTCAGTGATAGTGGCCATGGAGGTGCTTGCATCACAACATCCCCGGCCTCACATGGCTCAACACAGAAAGAGAGACTCTGTTTATTTGGGAGAAAGTAAGGGAAGACAATATGAGTCTCTTCCTGGTAATCTAGAGAATTCTTTTGGATCTTATTTAAGACTACCAAGGCAGTAGCTCTAGGAGTCCACAAAAACCACAGTGTTAGTGGGCTTGAAGCCCAAATCCTTTCAAATACCTGGATAGCCTTACCAAGAAGGACAATCCCAGGCTGTGAAAACTACAATAAATACCTGACTATTCAAAGCTCAGACATTAATGAACTTGTACGAGCATCAACACCACCCAAGAAAGTTTGCCCTCACCAAATGAACTAAATAAGGCACCGGGGACCAATCCTAGAAAAATAGAGATATATGACTTTTTAGATAGAGAATTCAAAATAGCTGTGTTAAGGAATCTCAAAGAAATTCAAGATAACACAGAGAAGTTATTCAAAATTCTATCCAATAAATTTAACAAAGAGATTAAAATAATTAAAAGGAATCAACCAGAAATTCTGGAGCTGAAAAATTCAATTGACATACTGAAGAATGCATCCATCTTTGAATCACAGAATGCATCAAGCAGAAGAAAGAATTAGTGAGCTTGAAGAAAGGCTATAAAAAATACAAAGTCAGATGGGACAAAAATAATTAAAAAAAACAAAGAAGTATCACTACATTATCTAGATAAATAGCCTCAAAAGCACTAATCTAAGAGTTATTGGCCTTAAAGGGGAGGTAGGGAAAGAGGTATAGGCAGAAAGTTTTCTCAAAGGGATAATATCAGAGAACTCCCTAAACCTATCAAAAGATATCAGCATTCAAGTATAAGAAGGTTACAGAGCACCAGGCAGATTTAACCCAAAGAAGACTATGTCTAGGCATTTAATAACCACACTCCCAAAGGTCATTGATAAGGAAAGAATCCTAAAAGCAGCAAGAGAAAAGAAAAAACTAACATAAAATAGAGCTCTGTATTAGTTTATTCTTGCATTGCTATAAAGAAATACCAGAGATTGAGTAATTTATAAAGAGAAGAGTTTTAACTGGCTCACAGTCATGCAGGTTGTACAGAAAGCATGATACTACTATATGCTCAGGTTCTGGGGAGACATCAGGAAACTTACCATCATAGCAAAAGGCAAAGGGGGAACAAATACCTCACATGGCAAAAGCAGGAGCAAGAGAGTGAGTTTAGAGGTGCTACACACTTTTAAACAACCAGATCTCAGGAGAACTCACTCTTTATTGTGAGGACAGTACTGAGGGAATGATGCCAAACCATTCATAAGAAATCAGCTTCCGTGATCCAATCACCTTCCACCAGGCCCCACCCCCAATATTGTGGATTACATTTTAATATGAGGTGTGGGCAGGGACAACTATATTATTCTGAAGCTGGCCTCTCCCAAATCTCATCTTCTTCTAACATTTCAAAATGCAATCACGCCTTTCCAATAATCCCACAAAGTCTTAATTCATTTCAGTGTTAACTCAAAAGTTCAAAGTCCAAAGTCTCATCTGCTTGAATTTCTCTCCTGAAAAAGCTTTTTTTTTTCTCTGTGATATGGCCAGGCTGAAAAATTTTCAAACTTTTACATTATGCTTCCCTTTTAAATATAAGTTTCAGCTTTAAGTCATTTATTTACTCCCACATATGAACACAGGCTATTAGAAGCAGCCAGGTCAAATCTTGAATGCTTTGCTGCTGAGAAATTTCTTCCACCAGATGCCCTAAATCATCACTCTCAAGTTCAAAGTTTCACAGATCCCCAAGCCAGGGGCACAATGCAACCAATTTTTTTGCTAAGTCATAACAAAAGTGACCTTGGCTCCATTTCCCAATAAGTTTCTCATTTCCATCTGAGATCTCCTCAACCTGGACTTCATTGTTTCTATGACTATCAGCATTGTGGTCACAACAATTTAACCAGTCACTAAAAAGTTTCAAACATTCCCTCATCTTCCTGTCTTCTTCTGAACCCTCCACACTCTTCCAGTTTCTGTCTGCTACCCAATTCCAAAGTTGTTTCCAGATTTCAGGTATCTTTAGAAAAATTCCCAACTCCTTGGTACCGTGTTTTTTTTTTTTTTTTTTTTTTTTTTTTTTTTTTTTTTTGTGAAATAGCTGACACTGGGAAATTTATAAAGTAAAAAGGTTTAATTGTCTCACTGTTATACAGGCTGCACAGAAAGCATGATGCTGGCATATGCTCAGCATCTGGGAAGGCCTCAGAAAACTTACAATCATGGTCAAAGGCAATGGGGGAGCAATTATGTCACATGGCAAAAGCATGAGCAAGAGAGTGAGGAGAGAGGTGCAACACACTTTTAAATGGCTAGATCTCAGAAGTACTCACTCTCTATCAGGGGGATGGCACCAAGAAGGATGGTGTTAATCCTTTTATGAGAAATCTTCCCCCATGGTTCAATCACCTCCCTCCCTGGCCCCATCTCCAATATATGAGATTACATTTCAATGTAAGATTTGGGCCAGGAAGCACATTCAAATTATATCAAGCTCCAACAGGTCTGGCAGCAGACTTTTTCTGGAAACCTTACAGGCCAGAAAAGAGTGACATCACATATTTAAAGTACTGAAGGAAAAAAACTTTTACTTTCAAATAGTATATCTAGTGAAAATATACTTCAGGCATGAAGAAGAAATAAAGACATTCCCAGACAAACAAAAGCTGAGAGATTTCATCAACACCAAACCTATCCTACATGAAATGCTGAAAGGTGTTTTTCAGTTTGAAAGAAAAATATATTAATGTGCTAAAAGAAACCATCTTAAGATAAAAAACTCACTGGTAATAGTAAGCACACAGAAAAACAGAATAGTACAACACTGTAATGGTGGTGTGTAAACTGCTCTTAAGTAGAAAGACTAAATAACAAACCAATAAAAAATAATGATGAAAACGAGGAAACTACTAGAACTGATAAACAAATTCAGTACAGTTGCAGGATACAAAGTCAGCATACAAAAATCAATAGCATTTCTATATGTCACCAGGAGACAATCTGAAAAAGAAATAAAATAATACTCCCATCTACAATAGCCACAAGTAAAATTAAATATCTAGGAATTGGCAAAAAAAGTGAAAAGTCTCCACAATAAACTCATAAAATTCTGATAAAAGTAACTGAAGAGGACACCAAAAAATGGAAATATATTTCATGTTCATGGATTGGAAGAATCAATATTCTCAAAATGTCCATACTACCCAAAGTAATCTACAGATTCAATGCAATCCCTATTCAACTATCAGTCACGCTTTTTCACAGAAATAGAAGAAAACAATCCTAAAATGTATATGGTTTATCAAAAGACCTAAATAGTCTAAGCTATTCTGAGCCAAAAGGAAAAAAATGGAGGAATCACTTCACCTTGCTTCAAATTATACTACAGAACTATAGTAACCAAAACAGTATGTACTTGTACAAAAACAGACACATAGACCAAGGGAACAGAATAGAGAACTCAGAAATAAATTCACACACCTACAGTGTACTAGTTTTCAACAAAAGTGCCAAGAATATACACTGAGGAAAAGCCACTCTCTTCAAAAAATTGTGCTAGGAAAACTTAATTCAGAGATGCTGAAGAATAAAACTAGACCCCTATCTCTAACCACATATAAAAATCAAATTATAATGGATTACATACTTTAAGAACTCAAACTATAAAATTACTAGGAGAAAATATTGAAGAAACTCTCCAAGACATTGATCTGTGCAGAAATTTCTTAAGTAATACCTCACAAGCACAGGCAACCAAAGCAAAAATGGACCAATGGGATTTGGTCATCAAATTAAAACTTCTGCACAGCAAAGGATACAATAAACAAAGGGAAGAGACAACCTGCAGAGTGTGAGAAAATATTTGCAAACTACCCATTTGACAAGGGATTAATAACCAGAATACATAAGGAGCTCAAACAACTCTATACAAAGAAAATCTTATAATCTGATAAAATAAGAACAGAAGATCTGAATAGACATTTCTCAAAAGAATACACACAAATGACAAACAGGCATATGAAAAGGTGCTTCACATCACTGATTATCAGAGAAACACAAATTAGAATTATAATAAGATATTATCTCATCCCAGTTAAAGTAATTTTTTTTAAATGTCAGGCAATGACAAATTCTGGTGAGTATGTGGAGAAAAGGGAAACCTCTTTCATTGTTGGTTGGAATGTAAATTAGTACAACCACAATAGAGAGTGCTTTGGAGGTTCCTCAAAAATAAAAAAAAAAAGAAAGAAACAAAAGCTATTATATTATCCAGCAATTCTACTGCTGGGTACACACCCAAAAGAATGAAAACTAGTATATCTAATAGATATTGGCTCTCCCATGTTTGTTACAGAACTGTTTACAATAGCCAATATTTGGAGACAACCCAAGGGTCTTTCAACTGATAAATGCATAAAGAAAATGTGATACATATACACAATGATGTACTATTCAGCCATATTAAAGAATGAGATCCAATCATTTGCAACAACATAGATGGAGCTGGAGGTCATTATGTTAAGTAAAATAAGCCAGGCACAGAAACACAAATATTGCACATTCTCATTTATTCGTGCAATCTAAAAGTCAAAACAATTAAGTTTATAGAGATAGAGAGTAAAAGGATAGTTACCAGTAGCTGGAAAGGGTAGTGGGGTTTGGGGGGAATGCTGGGATGGTTAAGAGAAACCAAAAACAATTAGAAAAAATGAATAAGACCTACTATTTGATAGAACAACAGAGGACTACAGTCAATAATAATTTAATTGTACATTTTATAGTAACTGAAATAGTATAATTGGATTGTTTGTAATACAAAGGATAAATGTCTGAGTAGATAGATACCCAACATTCCATGGTATGACTATTACACATTGCATGCCTGTACCATAATGTCTGATGTACCTCATAAATATGTACACCTGCTATTTACCTACAAAAATTAAAAATTTTGAACAATATGCTTAGTTCATATTAACCAAGGGTGGATATAAATTTTAGATATACTATAAATTTTTTGAAATGTTAATCTAGTGAGTGTGACTTTGTATACAAAATCTAGATAGATATGATGTCAACAGGATTTCACAGGAAAAGTTCAATTAAAAAAAAGAAGTTGGCTTTTTGTGGTGGTTGCTGTTTTGGTTTGAGCATTACCAAGTAGTCGGCTCTATGAAATCCAAACGAATCCACCAAGTCATATCAATATCACAAATTTATTTAAGCTCTGGTAGACACAACAGAGTAGAGCATGGACTTATTAACTATAATTTTATATTATTTAAACATTAGATGATCAAGTGAAATACATTTGAGAATGCAACAGCCAACTATCAAATCAAAACATGATGAATAAGTTTGTTCTATTAATATTTTATTGAAAATAGTGAGTTATCTTAACCTCTTTTAGATTTGTAATTAATGCAGAAAGGAAAGGGAAAATATAATTACAAATAAATGTTTAGTTATTTAAGCAAACATGTACATACACATCTGTCTAAGCATATTTAGATGAACTAAATCCAGATTTAGAAATACAGCCTTTGAAGAACCACCTGAATAAATGTTTTTCTACACCTTAAAATATACTTTATTACCCAGAGGAATATGATGAAACTAATGCTTAATGAAACTACTTACTCCCTCCAAAATGTGCCTACATTTCAATTGTATAAAAATGCAAAAAGCCTATTTTCACTTTATTGTTACATATTTTAAAAGTACTAAGTATTTGAAGGGCACTGAGCATTTAACTTTAACATCTCCCTTTTTGCCAGTTAGAAAAGTGATATGAACTTTTTATTGAGTTGTTGCACCCCACTGATTTCCTGAAATACTCAAAATGTCATGTATTTTGTAAATTTTAATATTTTGTTAAACGACTAGAATTACTCTAAAATATCCTAAAGCAACACTTGGAAATCATCCTTCACCAGAGATAAGAAGTGTTCATGAGTTCTCTATTCTGTTCCATTGGTCTATGTGTCTGTTCTAGTACCAGTACCATGCTGTTTTGGTTACCGTAGCCTTGTAGTATAGTTTGAAGTCAGATAGCATGATGCCTCCAGCTTTGTTCTTTTTGCTTAGGATTTTCTGGTCTATACAGGCTCCTTTTTAGTTCCATATGAATTTTAAGATAGTTTTATTTTTAATTCTGTGAAGAATGTCAATGGTACTTTAATAGGAATAAGCATTGAACGAATAAATTATTTGGGGCAGTACGGCCATTTTCACAATATTGATACTTCCTATCCATGAGCAAGGGATGTTTTTTCATTTGTTTGTGTCCTCCCTGATTTCCTTGAGCAGTGGTTTGTAGTTCTCTTTCAAGAAGTCCTTCCTTCCTTTGTTAGCTGTATTCCTAGGTATTTTTCTCTTTGTAGCAATTGTGAATAGGAAATCATTCATGATTTGGCTCTTTGCTTGCCTGTTGTTGGTGTATTGGAATGCTAGCGACTTTTGTACATTGATTTTGTATCCTGAGACTGCTGAAGTTGCTTAGCAGCTTAAGAAGCTTTTGGGCTGAGATCATGGGGTTTTCTAGATACAGGATCATGTCATCTGCAAACAAAAACAATTTGACTTTCTCTCTTCCTATTTGAATACGCTACATTTTCTTCTCCTGCCAGATTGCCCTGGCCAGAACCTCCAATACTATATTGAATAGGAGTAGTGAGAGAGGACAGCCTTGTCTTGTGCTGGTTTTCATGGGGAATGCTTCCAGCTTTTGCCCATTCAGTATTATATTGGCTGTTGGTTTGTTCTCACTTATACATGGGAGCTGAATGATGAGAACACATGGGCACATGGGTGGGAACAACACACACTGGGGCCTGCTGGAGGAGGAGGGTGGTGGGAGGGAGAGCATCAGGAAAAATAGCTAATGGATGCTGGGCTTCATACCTAGATGATGGGATGATCCATGGGACAAACCACCATGGCACACGTTTACATATGTAGCAAACCTGCACATCCTGTACATGTACCCCTGAACTTAAAATAAAAGTTGAAGAAAAAAAAGATCATACAAAAAGCCCTGGCTGACTTGAGTACTAGTTTGTGCACAGAGATGATGGTATTTCAGAGCAAATGTACTGAAATCTTCCATCCTCAATACACTACAAAAATTTTCATAGGCTGGGCCCAGTGGCTCACACCTGTAATCCCAGCACTTTGGGAGGCCGAGGCGGGCAGATCACTAGGTCAGGAGATTGAGACCATCCTGGCTAACACGGTGAAACCTGTCTCAACTAAAAATACAAAAAAAATTAGCCCGGCGTGGTGGCGGGCGCTTGTAGTCCCAGCTACTCGGGAGGCTGAGGCAGGAGAACGGCGTGAACGTGGGAGGCGGAGCTTGCAGTAAGCCGCGATGGCGCCACTGCACTCCAGCCTGGGCGACAGAGTGAGACTCTGTCTCCAAAAAAAAAAAAAAAAAATTCATAGTAGTCATAGTTTTTATATCACTTTAGAGTCAATATTCAGAATAATTAGAAACTTAACAATAAAGCAAATTTCTCTACCACACACAATAAAAGAAATATCCATGAGGAATAATAGAATAAACCGTAAGTCAATTCCAGAAAAAGCTCTGCCTTTTTGAGTAATATATTGATACTTAAGTATCACTAAAACTGTTCGAAGGCTATATTTAAATATCCAGAATCTTTAAATACTATTTATTCACTGCCAGCATCACTTTATTATGAATTCTAGAGGTAGTGTACAACCTGAAGTATCACAATTGTGCAAAAAAAATTATAATAAAACTGAAAAGGAGTCAATAACGAAACATTCAAAGAAACCCAGCCAGTTACAGGACAGGCTATTTTGTACGTCTTTAAAAATACGCTACTGCATTGTTATCAATTTCTAAATTCCCAGTCTGAAGCAATGTAAAATTTACGTAGTTGTTTATCATTTTAAATGTTTACATAATAGAAATATTTTTAAAGTTCATTTCTCTCTCATGTTCAAAGATAATGGAACCTTTCCCTCAACTTTGCTCGGGAATCTTCACTAATTAAAATTTATATTTCTGGTTCATTATTGTTATTTAAATTTAAAGGAAAGAGTTGGTAAATTGGTACATATTTATAATATAATTTATTCATTAATCATTGGAGAGGTATTGTGCTAAGAGTGAAAGAGTACAAAATTTTGAGCCATGGGCAATGACTTAAATCCTGTTTCTTTTGCTTAATTAGCTCTTTGGCCTTAGAAATTTATTTAACCTCCTGATTTTCAGTTTCTTCATTAAATACTTGATGAGTATTTGAATTAAAATAACAATACTTTATAGGGTTGCTGTTATAATTAAATAAAACATTGCAAGGCATGCAGCAGACACTGTATTTGACATTTATGTGGCTTTTAAAAAAATGTCATTAATCCTTTATTAAGGGCCACCTCAACACACTTGTGATTTATTTTGTTCATGGGTTAATGCACACTCAGATAAAATTGTAGAAAATACTAAACATATAGAAAACATTAAAAATAAAAATCACGCAGGTATAATCATTGCTAAAATGGTGGTGTGATACAGTGATTTATTACAATCATTTTATTACTTGATGTCTTCCTTTTTTTAACTTAACATTATACCATGAGCTCTTCCAGTGTCATTAACTATTTTTTGATATTTTGATTTTTAATGGTATATTCCACTGTATGCCTTCCATTGTATTTTGATTTCTTTGAGTAAATTAACATTTGGAATTATGTGTTCATTGGCCGGGTACAGTGGCTCACTCCTGTAATCCCAGCACTTGGGGAGGCCGAGGTGGGCAGATCAGGAGGTCAGGAGTTCGAGACCAGCCTGAACAACATGGTGAAACCCCCTCTCTACTAAAAATACAAAAATTAGCCATATGTGGTGGTGCGCACCTGTAATCCCAGCCACTCAGGAGGCTGAGGCAGGAGAATCACTTGAACCTGGGAAGCGGAGGTTGCAGTGAGCCGAGATCGCACCATTGTACTCCAGCCTGGGTGACAGAGTGAGACTCAGTCTCAAAAAAAAAAAAAAAAAAAAAAACCAGAAAAAAGAAAGTATATGTTTGTTGAAATATAATATCTTGTGCTATTTTTACATGTTTCACATCAGTTTAACTGTGGTGGTAATCATTTAAATTTTGCAGGAGCTATAGTACATCAATGAACTTACATTCATATACTCTGTTGTTTTTACATGATAGAGTTTAAGTTCTACCATATGCAATAAAACATTTTGTCTACACAAGTGTACAGTTATATTTTTAATGTGCGTGTCTTGCTAGAACACATTTAATAGTAATCGTTGCCATATTTTGAAACTATATTAATCCATATTTTATGAAATACTGTTATAGTTTATCAAGAGAAAAATGATGTTTTGTTTAACATAAATTACTTGATCATATTAGTCTATTGAGCAACAGCTTGTAACCCCCGTGAATCAACGGAATTTCTAAACAGCTAAATGAGTCACTGTTACTGAGGTTGCTCCTTTGAGGTGCCATTACAAAACTGTAACTCTTCACTGTATGCAAAAGTAATTAGGTGATCTTACTGATCATTATAGCATTAGGGTAGGAGGGAGAGAGAAGATAATTTTTTAAATGTCATGAAATTTAATACTGGGAAACCTGCATATTTTAGCTTTATTTCAGCTCAATTTTCTAACTATGCCTACCCCAGGGTACTCCAGCATAATATTTTTACCTTCCAACTCTCAAACAGCTCAGTTGGTGAGAAGATTGTTAATAACCATAATGAGTTATTCTCTGTCATAATCTAAATCTATCTTCTCAAGTCCAATTATTTTTGATGAATATATTCTGCTAACTTGAGCTTGAATGGAAGCACTGTTCTATAATGAATTAACTATAGACATAGAAACGGTATTATGGGGAATGCATATTTAGAACATAAATAAGAAGAGAGAAAAAAGAATAAACACATAGATATGATTCATTTGAAGGCCTCTTTTTAAAAAATTGACATTTTTAAATTGAATTGTAAAGATAATAAAAAATATCTTTGATGAGTTTTTATAATTTATAGAAATTACCTTACATTGTTTTCAAATTGATGACAGAGCTAACTGAAAGGTTTTTGTAAAACCAGAATTAACCTTTACTTTTTATTCCTGGGCACAATATTGAATGAAGCACAGAATGAGTGTTTTAAATTAGCTCTCATTTGTTTTGATGACTGTTTTTTTCTGGGAAGAGCTTGATCACATGCTTACAATTTCCATTTATGTATTATAAGGAGCAATGTACGGCTGCTCTGTTTACTTTGTGACTTTGGCCAGGATACACAAACCTAATTACTATTTTTCATTAAGTTTTTAATTGCTATTAAATTAGTATTTTAGTAAAATAAAATTTAATTTATAAATTTAAGGTAAATACTTTAAAATAAAATAATATTTAGTAATTAAATATCGAATTAGTATTAAGGGAGATGAATTGGTGAAAAAATATGAAGTTGATATTTGATGATATAATAAGATGTAATAAAAGTGTGTGGAGTTTGTTGGAGCATAACTCAAAATTGTATGCAAAGAAAGCAGTCTGCGTTCTTTATTAACTATTTGGCATAATAAATATTGCAGGCTTACTTGAAGTCCCAGATACAAGAATTGCCGTAATGAGTCAGAATGATGTCGATTCTAAAAGAAAAGTGGTGCTGTATATGATCCAGTAATTTTATTTGATTTAGGCTAGGTTTAATAGGAATCCCTACTGAGAACTTGCTTATATTTATTGCAAGCTTCAACAGTTATTCACCACTATCACCATTCCTCAACTTTCCACCCTACTTCCTATGTTCTCAGCCTTTCTCTGTCACTAGGCTCAGTAGGAAGGAAGGATAAATGGCAAATGTTGGATGGGACCAATATTTAATAGGGTTGGTTAAATAGAATATTTGAAAATCATAATATTAAACAAATGAACAATGAAACAATAAAATTTTCAAACTGTGTTTGATATGTGGAAAAAATAACTAAATTAGGCCTTCAAATTAAACTTGATTATATATGTGTAGATAAAATGTAGAATGAATTGTAAATAACGTTCTGAAATGTGACTTAAAATGTCCTCTTTAACATTCTAATGCTGATTACATTAATTGTAATGTAGATTACAGTCACTGTGTGCTTTCATTAGAAATAAAGCTTAAAAACTAAGTCATGTCACTATGAAACTTCTTATTGCAAATTATAAATCAGAAGTTTCTCTGCCATAGTCATTGATTTTATTAGAGTTGAGAGCAGTTCTTAGTAGGCACGTCTTATGTAATGGATGTGAGCAGCGGAAAACTAGTAAATACATCTGAGAATTGCCCAGTTGTGGCTTATATTCTAAAGAGCAGGAAGAAAAGTAATAAACTGCTTGACTGTCTGACTGCTGATGACCAACTGCAAGACTGGTTGAATTTTATGAATTTATGTCTAAAATATAGGAGTACATTTTTTCAGCAGCCAAAATGTTATTACTATTTTATTTGTGTAGTATCTTAACTATCCTTTAATCTCATCAAATAGTGAAAAGTAAATTAGAAAAGTGAAAGGCAATTTTTAAAAAACAAACTGAGGGCTGGGCCCTGTGGCTGGCCAGGCGCAGTGGCTCAGCCCTGTAATCCCAGCACTTTGGTAGGCTGAGGCAGGTGGATCACTTGAGGTCAGGAGTTTGAGACCAGCCTGGCCAACATAGGGAAACCCTGTATGTACTGAAAATACAAAAATTAGCCAGGTGTGGTGGTGTGCACCTGTAATCCCAGCTACTTGGGAGGCTGAGGCAAGAGAATCCCTTGAATCTGGGAGGCAGAGGTTGCAATGAGCCGAGATCACGGCACTGCACTTTAGCCTGGGTGACAGAGTGACACTCCATCTCAAAAATAAATAAATAAATAAATACGAAATAAACAAGCTCAGGAATTTAGAGAATTAATTCATATTATTTTTCAGAAAAGATCTGAATGCAAGCTGTGATGAAATTCTGAAAAATTTTATTCTAACTTGAAACCAAAAATCATTCTACCTTCTGAATATGAATTGAATGCTTTTGAATGGGGAATGTACCACAATGCATGTTGTCCCTACTATCCCACAAGAGGAAATGGTAGTTAGACAAACGCTGTATTAGGAATGAGGAAAGTAGGGTTCTAGGCCTGCCTTTGCCATGATTTTTGAGCACTTGGGGAGGTGACTTTACTTTGCCTTGGTTTTCTATTCTGTAATATTACTAGATGACCCTTTAGGTGTCTTCAGTTCTTTTCAAGAAAGAAAAACAATCTTCAATTCATTTTAAGGGAATTGGTTTTGGAGGAAAAGCAATTGCCCTGACATTTATTGAACAGTCCATAATAAAGTAAAATAGAAAAAATAAAGAGCTATTATTCAGCATTATTCCCTTTATAAGGTCAACTAAAAACTGACAAACTCATGCTTGAGTTCTGAGTGGACACTCATTTAAAGTATCATGAACCATGTGCAGCAATTATAGTAGGATGGTAATACATATTTACACCAGTTCAGTTGTAAAAGAACTCTAAAGTTTTTACTTATGTTTGTAAAGAAATCAAAAAGCTATTTTAACCAAAAATCTTTTAAATAATTTTAATTACATAGACACTTCCATATTTATTTCATAAATACCCATTTTGTCTTTAAATTTTGCCAGTTTCATGGAAATAATAATAATAGAGTGTAACATAAAAATAAGGTAAAGTTTTGTAAGATCCTAATGTAAAGAAAATACTATAGGCTTTTCATAATTATAAATATGTGCTTAAGATGAGAATAACAGAGGCAGTCATGAGAATGTAAATTAGTCCTTTTTTATGCAGATTATCTTAGCTAAAATTGAACATTCCCTATTCCACAGAGAAAACTACAGTTTAAATGCATGTTCATGCAAAGTAAGGTAGTTTTTAATGCTGTTAGGTATGATTCGTGTGCCTCATTTAAGACTGAATGGCTTTTCCCGCAGAATTGTAGTATTTACAATGCATAAATCCTTTCTCATACTGCAAATACAGTGCAACCATTACCAACTTTGTGAGATAGGAATCCTTCCAAATTATTTCAGTAACAATGTGGGGAGTTAAGTGAATAACTTCCTCTTTTCTTTGGAAAACAGTTTCACTTTTAAGCACTAAAAGCATTCTTGTCATGCCCTGGGAAATAAACTTCCAATGCCATTAACTGTTCTGTCATATTGCAAATGGAGAGTCTGCTATTTCTTAAAATCAAGAATGAAAGTTTCAGCGAAATTAGTGAATGGTCATCTGACTAATTCTGGGGAGAAATAGTTACATTTTCTTTATATAAAAGATGTTCACTCTGATAATTTATGTTCAATTTATCAAGACCAACAAATGTGAAATACCTTCTTTATGTCGTATTAGCTCAGCTTGATAATACCCAAGTGCTAAGTTAATTACCGTAGTTATTAGAGTTTCATGGAGTGGAAACATGAAAATCCTTAGCCACAATTTAAATCACATTTTTAGGATGCTTATATATCTCCCAATACATGAAGAGAATATTTAGAAGACAAGAGAGCAATAATTCATTTTTTTCAAAATAATATAATAAACCCGTCAGTTAATTTTCAGTTATTGAAATGCCCTTCAAGTATTTTTAATATTGTCATCTAGTGGAATTAATTTAATTGTTGTTTCCTCATATCGAGTGCACAGGCATGAAGTGATTAGACTTACTAACTACTGGGCTAAGTAGTTGTTTATGTGATTTCAGTTATTGCACATACATTTACAAAAATTTGTTTTTGACAGTCAACTATATTAGATGTTTTGAGAGGTAGATGTTCTGCATTTGAAGATTACAAAAAATACTGTGTGTTTGGTTGGTAGTTTTTTTCACTTAACCCTTAGAAGTTTGGTTCAGCAGGCTAACATGAATACTTCAAAACTGAAAACATTTTGGAAAAAATGTCTCAAACATACGGTAATGCTATTATATGACTGTAAAAGTGCACTGCTTTTGGTATTTTAGATAAGTTAAATATTCCAGAATGCTTAAAATATAAGAAAAACAAGTATGCCGTTTTTCATCACTTCATTCTATTTGGTTTGCTACATTATTTTATTTGAAATCAATCATACTATATATATATTTACTTAAATTTGGGCATATGCATGTACGTGTAAGATAATTTTATGAGTACATTATGTACGTAAATAAACAAATGCATAGTTTGAATATATCATGGATAATTTAATTATTTCATCTATGCCAATCTGGTATTACAGGCTATGTTTTATTTCTATTTTGTTATTAATTAAATTACACTCTATTTAAATATTTTAACACCTTTCAGGGTTTGTTTTTAATTTTTAATAATTTTTATATGGTGAAAATTTGCTAATTTAAATTTTAAAAATTTAATAATTTTATATGGTGAAAAATTATTATAAATTATTGAAAATAAGGTGATGTGCAAAAATAGACTTTGTGGTCTTTTTCACTTTTGTCTTTTACCTTAGGCTACAATTGACTTTATAAAATAATATATTATCATAGGTTCATTAGTAAAGTGTGAGCTTATTATTCAAAAACTGTTGTCTACTATTATGTTTGTGTAGACTTATGACTGAAATGACTGATTGTAACTATAGATTAAATTCAATTGTTACCATATTTACTTACTAACTCAACTTCCTCATTCTTCCCAAATTCCAACAAATATATTTTCAGAACACAATGAATCCAATTAGCTTCACAGGTAAACTATACCAGTCTTTTGGGTCTGATCTGTTTTGTTGTTCCTTAACTTGACTCATCATTTCAACATATTGAAGCTTGTGACTCCTAGTATCATGCACTGACAAAAACTAGTTGGTCTTCCTAGAACGGAATTTTGTAGGTAACCTGGTGTATACACACACACACACACACACACACACACACACAGGTGCTATATATACATATATATAGGTGCTCCAGGGTTGGGTTCATGTATATTTAAAATCATTACATCCTCTTGCTGAACTGACCACTTCGTCATTATGCAGCGACTTTCTTTGTCTCTTATAGTTTTTGTCTTGATACCTATCTTGTCTTATATAACTGTTCTGCTCTTTTTTTTTTTATTTTCATTGGCAGGTATATTTTTGGCAGATATATTTTTCTATCCCCTTATTTCCTGGCTATGTGCCTTCATAGGTGTGTTTCTTTATAAGTGTGTTTCTTTTAGACAACAGATCAATGAGTCTTTTTTTTTTTCAATCCATTAAGCCATTCTATGTCTTTTCATTGGAGAGTTTAGTAAATTTACATACAATGTTATTATTGATAAGTAAAGACTTGCTCCTGCTGTTTTGTTATTAGTTTTCTTGTGGATTTGTGGCTTTTTCTTTCTTTTTGCTTTCCTGTATTTTGTTTATTGAAGGTGATTTTCTCTGGTGACACAAATTAGTTTCTTGTTTTTAACTTTTTGTGTATTCTTTGTATGCTTTTGGTTTGAAATTACCACGAGGCTTGTAAATATCATCCTATAAGTGATTATTTCAAGCTGATAATAACACTGTTTGCATGAACAAAAAAAGCACACAAAAAGAAAAGTAATAAAAACAATGCCTTAATTTTGTTTGCCTGTTTTTTTACTTTCTGTTGTTTCTATTTATATCTTATTGTACTGTCTATGTCTTGAAAGTTGTTGTAGTTATTATTTTTTATTGCTTCATCATTTAGTTTTTTACTTAGGAAAACAGTAGTTTATACACTACAGTTACAGTGTTATAATACTGTTTTAGCTGTGTAATTACTACTAGTAGTAAATTTTATACTTTCAGGTGATTACTTAAGGCTTATTATCTTTCTTTTCTTTCTGACTGAAATATTTCCTGTAACATTTCTTGCAGGGCAGTTCTGGTATTTATTATATTCTTTAGCTTTTGTTTTGTTTTCTTTGGATGATGTTGGTCTCATAGAATTAGTTGGGGAGTTGTCCCTCCTTTTCCATGGTTTGGAATAGTTTCAGAAAAAGTAGTAGCAGTTCTCCTTTGTACCTCTGGTAGAATTCAGCTGTAAATCCATCTGCTCCTAGACTTTTTTTGGTTGGTAGGTTATTTATTACTTTCTCAATTTTAGAACTCATTATTGGTCCATTCAGAGATTCAACTTTTTTCTGGTTCAGGCTTGGGAGGGTGCATGTGTCCAGAAATTTATCAGTTTCTTCTAGATTTTTCTAGTTTATGTGCATAGAGGTGTTTATAGTATTCTCTGATGGTTGTTTGTATTTCTGTGGAGTCAGTGGTGGTATCCCCCTTATCATTTCTGAATATGTTCATTTGAATATTCTATTTTCTTCTTTATTATTCTAGCTAGTGGTTTCTCTATTTTATTAACTTTTTTCAAAAAACCAGCTCCAAGATTAGTTGAGTTTTTGAAGAGATTTTTTTTTCTATCTTTTTCAGGTCCACTCTGATCTTAGTTATTTCTTGTCTTCTGCTAACTTTGGGGTTTGTTTGCTTTTGGTTCTCTAGTTCTTTCAGTTGTGATATTAGAATGTCAGCTTGAGATCTTTCTAGCTTTTCAATGTGGGCATTTAGTGCTGTGAAATGTTCTCTTAACATTGCTTTACCTATGTCCCAGGGATTCTGGTACATTATCTTTGTTCTCATTAGTTTCAAATAACTTAATTTCTGTCTTAATCTTCTTATTTACCCAGGAGTCATTCAAAAGCAGGTTGTTCAATTTCCATGTAGTTGTATAGTTTTGAGTGAGTTTCTTAATTTTGAGTTCTAATTTGATTGTGCTGTGGTCTGAGAGATTGTTTATTATAATTTCAGTTCCTTTGTACTTGCTGAGGAGTATTTTACTTCCAATTATGTGATCAGTTTTATAGTAAGTGCCATGTGGCAAAGAATGTATATTCTGTTGTTTTTGGGTAAAGAGCTCTGTAGATATTTATCAGGTCCACTTGATCCGGAGCTGAGATCAAGCCCTGAAAATTTTTGTTAATATTCTGTCTCAAGGATTGATCTAATATTGTCAGTGGGGTGTTAAAGTCTCCCACTAGAGTTGAACAATGAGAACACATGGACACAGGGAGGGGAACATCACACACTGAGGTCTATTGGGGGATGGGGGGCTAGGGGAGGGATAGCATTAGGAGAAATACCTAATGGAGATGATGAGTTGATGGGTGCAGCAAACCACCAAGACACGTGTATACCTATGTAACAAACCTGCACGTTCTGCACATGTATCTCAGAACTTAATGTATAATAAAAATAAATAAATAGATCTCTCACTATTATTGTGTGGGAGTCTAAGTCTCTTTGGAGGTCTCTAAGAATTTGTTTTATGAATCTGGGTGCTCTTGGATAACTAGCTCTTCTTGTTGATTTGAAGCCTTTACCATTAGTAATGCCCTTCTTTGTCTTTTTTGATTACTGTTTGTTTAAATAATCTTTTTTTCAGAAACTAGGATTGCAACCCCTGCTTTTTTCTGCTTTCTATTTGCTTGGTAATTTTTTCTCTATCCCTTTATTTTGAGCCTATGTGTGTCTTTGCATGTGAGATGGTTCTCTTGAATACACCACTCTGGTGGGTCTTGACTCTATCCACCTTGCCATTTTGTGTCTTTTAATTGGGGGATTTAGCCCATTTACATTTAAGTTTAATATGGTTATGTATGAATTGGATCCTGTCATCATGATGCTAGCTAGTTATTTTATAGACTTGTTAATGTAGTTGCTTCATAGTTTCATTGGTCTGTGTACTTCAGTGTGTTTTTGTAGTGGATCATAATGGTGCTTCCTTTCCATATTTAGTGCTTCTTTCAGTAGCTCTTTCAAAGGAGACCTAATGGTGATGAATTCCCTCAGCAATTGCATGTCTGAAAAGTATTTTATTTCTCCTTCACTTATGAAGCTTAGTTAGGCCAGATAAGAAATTCCGGGTTGGCAATTCTTTCTTTAAGAATGTTGAATATTGGCTCCCAATCTTTTCTGGCTTGTAGAGTTATCACTGAGAGGTCCTCTGCTAGTCTGATGGTCTTCCCTTTATAGGTGACCTGGCCTTTCTCATGGGCTGTCCTTAATATTTTTTTCCTTCACTTCCACCTTGGGGAACTGATGATTATGTGTCTTGGGTTTGATCTTCTCATGGAGTATCTTACTGGGGTTCTCCAGATTTCCTGAATTTGAATGCTGGCCTGTCTTGCTAGGTTGGGGAAGTTCTTCTGGATGATATCTTGAAGTATGTTTTTCAACTTGATTCCATTTCCCTCCTCTCTTTCAGGCACCCCAATCAGTTTTAGGTTTGGTCTTTTTACATAATTTGATAGTTCTCAGAGGTTTTATTCATTCCTTTTTATTCTTTATTTCTCTAATCTTGTCTGCCTGTCTAATTTTGGCAAGATAATCTTCAAACTCTGTATCTTTTCTTCTGTTTGGTCTATCCAGCTATTGCTACTTGTGGTTGAATTGTGACGTTCTTGTGTTTTTCAGCTCCATCGGGTCATTTGTTTTTCTCTCTAAACTGGTTATTCTGCATAACAGCTCCTGGAATGTTTTATCATGGTTCTTAGCTTCTTTGCATTGGGTTGGAACATACGTCTTTAGCTCAGCAAATTTCATTATTACCTACCTTCTGAAACCTACTTCTGTCAGTTCAGCCATCTCAGCCTCAGTCCAGTTCTGAGTGCTTGCTAAAGAGATGTTGTGATAATTTGGAGAGGAGGCACTGTGGCTTTTTGAGTTTTCAGCATTTTTGCATTGATTCTTTCTCATCTCCATGAGCTTATCTACCTTGGATCTTAGAGGCTGCTGAACTTTGGATGGAGTTTTTGTGGGGTCTTTTGTTGATGTTGCTGCTTTCTGTTTGCTTGCTTTTCTTTTAACAGTCAAGCTCCTCTTCTGTAGGGCTGTTGCGATTGCTGGGGGTCCACTCCAGACCCTATTCACCTGGGACACTCCCACACCTGGAGGTGTCACCAGTGGAGGCTGCAGAACAGCAAAGATGGCTGCCTGCTCCTTCCTCTGGGAGCTTTGTCCCAGAGGGGCACTGAACTTATGCCAGCTGGAATGCTCCTATATAAGGTGTCTGGTAACCCCTGTTGGAGCATCTCATACAGTCAAAGGGCATGAGATCAGGGACCCACTCAACAAAGTACCCTGGATGCCCCTTGGCCGAGTAGGTATTCTACACTGGGGAGGAT
This sequence comes from Homo sapiens, assembly GCF_000001405.40. Lineage (NCBI taxonomy): Eukaryota > Metazoa > Chordata > Mammalia > Primates > Hominidae > Homo > Homo sapiens. The sequence continues at coordinate 5,699,365 of NC_000024.10, forward strand.
CCCCCTCATCTGGACTGCCTGGACTTCTCAGAGCCAGCAGGCAGGAAAAACTAAGTCTGCTGATCCATGGAGACTGTGGCTGCCCATCTCATCAGGGGCTCTGTCTCAGGGATATCAGAGTTCTATCTGTAAACTGGCTGGAGGTGCTGAAATTTCGACAAGGAGGCCCGACTCAGTGAAGAGGGATGGATCCTAGTCCCATCTAAAGAAGTAGTCAGGCCATGATCTGCCACAGCCACTGTGCGGTGCTGTGGGGAATTTCTTCCGGTCCAAGCAGCCCAGTCTCCCTCTCACTGGCAGGGAAAAAAAAGCCTACTGAAGCTGCAGTGTTGGTGGTTGGCCCTCCCCCTGGGATCTCAGTCATTTAGGCACTCTCCAACCTGCTGCCACTGGCCACAACCCAAGTGGCTGCCGAGAGTCTGCACAGCTCTGTGCTTGGGACCCAAGTCCTTGGTAGCCTGGGCTCATGAAGGGATCTCCTGATCAGCAGGTTGCATAGATCCATGGAAAAAGTATGATTTCCCGAGTTTGGTAACACAATCACTCACTGCCTCTCTTGGGTGGAGGTGGGAGCTCCCCTTGCCCCGTGTGGCTCCTGGGTGGGCCATTGCTCAACCCTGCTTTTCCTCACTCTCTGTGGGTCATGCCAACAACCTAGTCAGTCCCAGTGAGAGAACCTGGATACTTCAGTTGAAGGTGCAGGATTCACTCACTGAGTTCATTTTTCTTGGTGAGAGCTGCTGACCACCATTTCTTCTAATCAGCAATCTTGACTTCTCCTCCATAGTAGGATTTTTTAACATGTTTCATTTTGCAATTGATAGAATAAATAGAGAAAAAAAATCTGTAAGAAATAGTGGGTCTAAACAATACCAACAAACACATTGACCTACTTGGATACTTATACATAGACAAACACTATATCCCAAAACTATAGAATATGCACCTTTTTTTAAGTGCACATGGTACATTAACCAAGGTAGACCATTGATATGTTCTGTCTGTGTCCCCACCCAAATCTTATCTTGAATTGTAGCTCCCATAATTCCCACATGTTGTGGGAGTGACCCAGTGTAGGATAATTGAGTAACGGGGATAGTTTTTGCCCATACTGCTCTCATGCTAGTGAATAAGTCTCATGAGATCTGATGGTTTTATAAGGGGAAAGCTCTTTCCCTTGGCCCTCATTCTCTCTTGCCTATTGCCATGTAAAACATGCCTTTTGCTTCCACCATGATTGTGAGGCCTCCCCAGCCACGTGAACTGTGAGTCCATTAAACCTCTTTTTCTTTATAAATTACGCAGTCTTGGGCATGTCTTTATCAGCAGTGTGAAAACGAACTAATACAGTAAATTGGTACTGAGAGTGGGGTGCTGCTGTAAAAATGCTTGCAAATGTGGGACATGACTTTGGTATTAAGTAACAGGCAGAGATTGGAACAGTTTGGAGGGCTCTGAAGCAGATAGAAAAATGTGGGAATGTTTAGAACTTCCTAGAGACCTAATGAATGGCTTCTAACAAAATGCTGACAGTAATATGGACAATAAAGTCCAGGCTCAGGTGGTCTCAGATGGAGATGAGGAACTTGTTGAACACTGGAGTAAAGGTGACTCTTGCTATGTTTTAGCAAAGAGACTGGTGGCATTTTGCCCCTGCCCTAGAGATTTGTGTAACTTTGAAATTGAGGGAGATAATTTAGGGTATCTGGCAGAAGAAATTTCTAAGCAGCAAAGCATTCAAAAGGTGACTTCAGTGCTGTTAAAAACATTCAGTTTTAAAAGGGAAACAGAGAATAAAAGTTCAGAAAATTTGCAGCCTGATGATTGATAGAAAAGAAAAATCCATTTTCTGAGGAGAAATTCAAGCCGGCTTCAGAAATCTGCATAAGTAACCAGGAGCCAAATGTTAATCCCCAAGACAACAGGGAAAATGTCTCCAAAGCATTTCAGAGACATTTGATCACAGACCTAAAGGCCTAGAAAAAAAAAATAGGTTTGTGGTCCCGGCCCAGGGTCCCCCTGTTATGCACAGGCTAGGGACTTGGTTCTCTGTGTCCCGGCTGCTCTAGCCATCCCTAAAAGGGACCAAGATACAGCTTTGGCCATGGCTTCAGAAGATGCAAGCCCCAAGCCTTGGCAGCTTCCACGTGGTGTTGAGCCTGTGAGTGCACAGAAGTCAAGAATTGAGGTTTTGGAACCTCCACCTAGATTTCAGAGTGTGTATGGAAATGCCTAGATGTCCAGGTAGAAGTTTGCTTCAGGAGCAGGGTCCTCATTGAGAACTTCTGCTAGAGCAGTGCAGAAAGAAAATGTGGGGTTGAAGCCCCCACACAAAGTCCCCACTGAGGCAGTGCCTAGTGGAACTATAAGAAGAGGATCACCATCCTCCAGGCCCCATAATAGTACATCCACCAATAGCTTGCACCATGCACTGGGAAAAGCCACAGACACTCAACACCAGCCCATGAAAGCATCCAGGAGGGAGGCTGTACCCTGCAAAGCCACAGGGGTGGAGCTGACCAAGACTATGGGAACTCACCTCTTGCATTAGCGTGACCTGGATGTGAGACATGGAGTCAAAGGAGATCATTTTGATGCTTTAAGATTTCACTGCCCCACTGGATTCTAGAATTGCATGGGGCCTGTAGTCCCTTTGTTTTGGCCAATGTCTTCCATTTGGAATGAGTGTATTTATCCAATGCCTATACTCCTGTTGTATCTAGGAAATAGCAAACTTGCTTTTGATTTTAGTCTCATAGGTGGAAGGGACTTGCCTTATCTCAGATCAGACTTTGGACTGTGGATTTTTTTTTTTTTTAGATGGATTCTCTCTCTGTCGCCCAGGCTGGAGTGCAGTGGTGTGATCTCGGCTCACTGCAACCTCCGCCTCCCAGGTTCAAGCGATTCTCCTGCCTCAGCCTCCTGAGTAGCTGGGATTACAGGCATGCACCATCATGCCTGGCTAATTTTGTGTATTTTTAGTAGAGATGGGGTTTCTCCATGTTGGTCAGGCTAGTCTCGAACTCCCAACCTTAGATGATCTTCCTGCCTTGGCCTCCCAAAGTTCTGGGATTACAGGCATGAGCCACTGCACCTGGCCTTGGACTGTGGACTTTTAAGTTAATGCTAAAATGAGTTAAGACTTTGGGGAACTGTTGGGAAGGCATGATTGGTTTTGAAATGTGAAGACATGAAATTTGGGAGGGGCAGGGGAGAAACGATATGGTTTGGCTCTGTGTTCCCACCAAATCTCATCTTGAATTGTAGCTCCCATAATTCCCACGTTATGGGAGGGACTCAGTTGGAGACAATTGAATCATGGTGGCAGTTTCCCCCATACTATTCTCATGGTAGTGAATAAGTCTCACAAGATCTGATGGTTTTAAAAGGGGAAACCTCTTTTGCTTGGCCTTCATTCTCTCTTGCCTGCTTCAGTGTAAGATTTGCCTTTCACTTTTTGCCATGATTGTGAGGCCTCCTCAGCCACGTGGAACTGTAAGTTTATTAAACCTCTTTTTCTTTATAAATTACTGAGTCTTGGGTATGTCTTTATCAGCAGCATGAAAATGCACTATTACAACTATTTTCTAGGTTATTAAAAAACTTATTGAATTCAAATGAATTGAAAGCACACAGAATATGTTTATTTATGTTAATGGAATTAAAATATAAATAATAAGCTGTCTTGGAAAAATCACAATATTTGGAAATTAAACAATATACTTTGATGAGACAATGATGAAATAAAAAAGTAAGAAAATATTTTAAATGGAATTGTAATAAAAATAAAATATATCAAAATTTATGGGATGCAACTAACTAAAACCGTGTCCAGAGTAAATATTAAAACTTTAAATAATTATATTAGTGATGAGGGGAAATCTAAAATTAGTGTTGTAAGATTTTACATTAAGAAGCTGGAAAAATAAGTGCAAAATAAACCCAAAGCAAGGATAAAGAAATTATGAATTTCTCAACAATATAGAAAACAAATATTTGAGAAAATTAACAAGCCAAATGTTCATCTTTTGAAATATTTAATAAAATTTGATATACCCTCAGCTAGACTGATCAAAAAATATATGAAAGCAAAAATCACCATTATCAGTAATAAAAGACAGTATCTTCTCAGATCCTACAGATGGTGAAAAGATCATCAGAAAATAATTATGAACAACTTTTTCCCAAAGAAATTAAACAATTTAGAAGAGATAGACAAATTTATTGAAAGGCAGGAGCTACCAAATCTCTCTCAAAAGGAAGATACATAATCGAAATAGTTCTGTGTTTATTAAAGGGATTAACTTTGTTGTTAAAAATATTCCCCTAAAGAAAACTCCAGTTCTAGATGGCTTCTCAGGTGAAGTTTGGCAAATATTTATGAAAGAAAGGATAACAATTCTACATAAGTTGTTTTCAAAAAATACAAGTGGAAAGTAATCATGACAACTCATTTTTAAGGCCAGCATTATTCTCTTTTTTTCCTTTTTTTTTTTTTTTTGAGACAGAATTTTGCTCTTGTTGCCCAGGCTGAAGTGTAATGGCACAATCAGGGCTCACCACAATCTCTGCCTCGGGGGTACAAGTGATTCTCCTGCCTCAGCTTCCAGAGTAGCTGGGATTACAGGCGTGTGCCATCATGCCCAGCTAATTTGTATTTTTAGTAGAGGCAGGGTTTCTCCATGTTGGTTATACAGTCCCATGGGCTGTACAGGATGCAGGATGCTGGCATCTGCTGGGTTTCTGGGTAGACCTCAGAAAGCTTACAATCATGGCAGAAGGCAAAGTGCAGTCAGCACTGTACATAACTGGAGCAGGAAAGGGGGGTGCTACACACTTTTAAACAAGCAGATCTCACTCACTATCACAAGAACAGCATCAAGAGGATGGATTAGCGCATTCATGAAGGATTCATCCCCGTAATCCGATCACCTCCCACCAGGCCCCCTGCCTCCAACACCGGGGATTACAATTCCACTTGAGATTTGGGCAGGGTCACAGATCCAAACCATATTAATTGTCCTTTCCAAATTCAAAAGCCAAATGTAAATAGTGCTTTCTTTTTTTTCTTTTTTTTTTTTTTTGGGACAGAGTCTCGCTCTGTCGCCCAGGCTGGAATGCAGCGGTGCTATCTCGGCTCACTGCAAGCTCCGCCTCCCGGGTTCATGCCATTCTCCTGCCTCAGCCTCCCGAGTAGCTGGGACTACAGCGCCCACCACCAAGCCTAGCTAATTTTTTGTATTTTTGGTAGAGACGGGGTTTCACTGTGTTAGCCAGGATGGTCTCGATCTCCTGACCTCATGATCCACCCGCCTCGGCCTCCCAAAGTGCTGGGATTACAGGCGTGAGCCACCGCGCCCGGCCAAATAGTGCTTTCTGAAGAATACTTTGAATCACTAAACCCAAAGCATGAGAACATTTTGCATCAAATGTGATATCAAAATTGAGTGCATTATTTCAATAATACCCATAATATCATAAAATATAAAATGATGAATTAAAAGTTTGGCTTTTCTGTACATTGTATTTTAACTTTGGATAGCTTTGGGTGTTTAAAAATACTTTACAGTTACATGATAAAGAATAGTATGTAACATAATATTCAATAATATTATTCATGGGTTATTTTTAGTTGCTAAGGTAATTCAGAGGCTTTTAAAAAATAACAGGACTTAATTGCAATATTCATCAAATACTACTTCTAAAGAAGAAAAATAGACTTTCTACTGCCTATTGCTGACTGAACCAGTGTAAGGTGGTCATTACACTCATTTTACTGATGTGGCAATAAACTGATAATACAAAAAAATGCTACACTTACTGGTTAATTAGAAATCCTACAGCAAATTAAAGTCACTTGTCATTGTTTAATGGTTGTTGATATCATGAGCTCTGTATTGCTGTACAGGCAGCATTTTAAAAAACAAAGAATATTTTTGTGCCACTGAGGACAGTTTGTTTCATTGACCGAGAATTGTGTTTTTTTCAACATTTTATTCTAATTGCAATCCTAGATTAGTAATAACAATTTGTTTAAACCTGATCTTTGTTAAACTAGGTAACCTATTTAATTTAGACTTCAAATCATATAAGAGTAAGACTATGGAAACTTGAATAATTTAACCTAAAATACAATTATGGAACTATGGATTGATTAATGGTCTGGTGTAGAATAAACATACTTTATTAACATAAAGTATAGCTGTATTTATACCTATAAAGTAGCAACATTTAATGATACTTTCTTAGAAAGTCCCCACACTCACCAAGTTCTTGTCTGCCTACCTATGTAGGTTCCAAATTACTAACTTGGTGATGATCGCTTAATTAAATTGGTGTCCAGCAAATTCCAGTAGATATTGTAGAAATATTAGGTGAAAATGGGATTACTCATCTTATGGTATTTTTTCCTAGTGTATCCTTTGGCTGCTCTGGTTAGTTCACATGAATAGATGGAAGTTATCAGTCTTCACAGATTATTCCCAACAAGACAGAAGTTAGTCACACAAGTCTCTAATAAAAAGTTAAAATCTTGATTGAATATTTCAAATAACTCAGCTATGCATTTGTACCACATTTAACTAAACACTGATGTGTCAGACCATTAGATGAGTCATATATTTCTCATTTATTGTTTTGAAAAGACCAAATTATGAACTCTACACAGAAGCCTTTTTTTTTTTTTTTTTTTGGCTGAAATTAGCATATCAGTTACAACCTGATACAGCCCTAAAACACAATATTGACAGTCTTCATTGGGGCAATTGGGAAGCTGCTGAAAGTGCAAGAGATCAAAAAGAGAGATCAAAAGCAATTTTACAGCATCTTATTTCTTTTCATGAGAGTTCAGCTTAGAACATTAATCAAATAGTGTGTATAAGACCTTTATCATACGAAATTTGCTATCAGAGATTAACAGATACATTAAATGGAACAGTTTGACTGGAAATATTTGTATAATGAACATTCAATTCTGCTTCGGCATGACATTAAGAAAAACGTCTTTAAAATATATATTTACTCTCAAATTGATAGCGATTAGAAAATAATAAGGAGCATCAGCAGAGTGCATTTAATCATGTCTGTGAACCTGATATCTGAATTTTGAAAGACTGGGATTTTCTCTATTACTTAAAACATATTCTACATCATCCAATTAAAAATGTGATTTAATAGATAGTTCTCAAAAGTAATCTAAAGGTTAAAAACATATAAGCATTTAGAAAGTAGAAAAATATTTGTCCAAATGAATTTAATATCATAAGAGCAAATTTTCCTTCTGAGCCAAAACAGATGAATTATGCTCTGACAGTGATCTTTATTGAATTGTGCTAAAATATATTTCGATATACTGTAATTTTTTCTGACTTCTTCTCAGTAAATGCAGATGGCAACAGTTCACTTGTAAATGGTTTCGAAGAAGAGATATTGAAGTAATATTCTCTGAAATCTATTCTTTGCAGATAGCTATTTCTATTACTCTGCTGTATATTCCATCTTCTCAGTGTACTCCATTGATGTGTGTGTTGCCAGAATTTTTGTCCATCATTTAAATAGTAATTTCATTTCAAGTTTCCTTTTCATCATGATAAAATGATCAACTATATGACTGCATCACAATTTTCCTAGGGAAGCATTACTGTGATATTCACAGAGTAGTTTGCTACTGTGTGAGAGGCTAATATATTTCTCTAGGAAGAATATTCAATTCATAAAAATTAAATGTTATTAATGAGTTACAGAAGCCCTCAGAGAATGTTGTTTAAAGTATAATTAAATTGAACCTCGCTAATTCACAATGCATGTTATTTTGAACCTGCATTGAGTTAATTTGTGATGGTCCCATACTTTCTTCTTGAAAAATAGTTTTTAAGATAATTAAATGGGGTTGGTATTTAAGAAAGACTGTACAGTGTACTAAAAAATATATATTTAAAATAATATTTTAGCAACATTCATTCACATCGAAATCCTGAAAATGTTTATTACACTTCTGTCCTTTGTGCATTGTTTAAAATTGATTTACTAGTGGTTGGTGGATTTTCATATACTTGTGTGTGTGTGTGTATATATATATATGGATGTACATATATATGTTTGTGTGTGTATATGTGTATATATATACATATAATTTAACAAAGAGCTTGAAATAATTAAAAGGAATCAAGCAGAAATTTTGGAGTTGAAAAATACAATTGTCATACTAAGAAAGCATTAGTCTTTTAATAATAGAATTGATCAAACAGAAGAGAGAATTAGTGAGCCTGAAGACAGACTGTATGAAAATACACAGAGAAGAAAGAATAAAGAATAAATAATAAAAAACAATAAAACACGCCTACAGGATTTAGAAAATAGCCTCAAAAGAGCACATGTAAGGGGTATTGGCCTTAAAGAAGAGGTAGAGAAAATGAAGAGGGTAGAAAGTTTATTCAAGGGGATACTATTTAATAACAGAGAACTTCCCAAACTTAGAGAAATATATCAATATCCAAGTATAAGAAGGCTGTCGAACACCAAGCAGATTTAACACAAAGAAGACGACCTCAAGGCATTTAAGAATGAAATGTCCAGTGGTCAAGGACTAAAAAAAAGATCCTAAAAGCACCACAGGGAAAAAGAAAATACAATGGAGCTCAAACATCTAGAAGCAGACTTTTCAGTGAAAACCCTACAGGCCAGGATAGACTGGTAAGACAAATTTGAAGTGCTAACAGGAAAAAAAACAAAACAACCAACAACAACAACAAAGAAAACCCTTCTACCCTAGAAAAGTATGTCTGGTTAAAAATATTCTTCAAACATGAAGGAGAAATAAAGACTTTTATAAACAAACAGAAGCTGACATATTTCATTAACACCAGACCTCTCCTACAAAAAATGCTAGAGGGTGTACTTGAATCAGAAAGAAAATGATATTAATAAGAAATCATTTGAAGGTACAAAACTGACTAGGAATAGTAAATGCACAAAAAACCGGAATATTATAACACTGTAACTGTGGTGTGTAATCTACTTTTAAGTAGAAAGACAAAATGATAAACCTGTCAAAAATAATAATTTAGCAACTTTTCAAGACATAAACAGTACAATAACATATAAATATTAACAACAAAAATTTGAAAAGCAGGGGACAAAGTTAAAGCATATAATCTTTATTAGTTTACTTTTTGCTTATTTGTTTATGCAAGTACTGTTAAGTTTTTACCACCTTAAAAAATGAGGTATAAGATAGTATTCGCAAGCCTCATGGTAATCTCAAACCAAAAAACATACAATGGATACACAAAAAATAGAAAGCAAAAAGCTAAATCATATCATCAGGGAAAATCACCTTCATTAAAATGAATGAAGCTGCCTTTCTAAAAATTGTTATCAGTGAGACAATTACAAAAGTGAACAAGATCTGAGCTAATCTACCCCCCCATCTTACCTTTCCCTTAATTATTCCTGGGCTATTAGTACAAGGTAACTTTGAGAGACATTTAGTCTGTTGTTTAAATGATAATAGGTCTTACCCAAAACTCAACAGGGCTTTTGTAAAGCTAATGGGAGGCCATCAGTCTAGGCTGAGGAGAGGAGCCGAGTCCTGCTGAGGCGCAGACATGAAAGATTTTCGGCCATTAATCTAAAGATTATAAGATCTGCAGCTTCCCCAATTATTCCGCCGATAACACCACTATTGTAGATTGGCCTTTTAAGATATATTTTTCTTTTTTTTTTTTGCATATCTGACACCCATGGCTCCACCTGGACCAACCAACCCCACCCAATTCATCCTGCAAGAGGACAGCTATGACCCTCTATGATTTCGTTTCCACCCCAAGCAATCAGCAATGAGCACTCATTACCTGGCCACCCCCACCCCTTTCCCCAAAATGCCTTTGAAAAACACCTAACTGATGAGCTTTGGATGAGATGATTTGAGTATAAACTCTGACTCCCACATGGGGTGGCTGGCATCATGTCTATTAAACTCTTTCCTGCAATGGCATGGTCTTTCTTTATGCAGCAGGCAGGAAGAACCTCTTGGGAAGTTATAAATTTGGGGGCTCATCTGGGATCCCCTGACCACAGTTTGTTAGTCCCCCCACCAGAATGAGGAACACAGAGGTGATCTCTGGCAGCTGCTTATTTAACTGAAGCCTATCTCTGGTGCTGTCTCTGCTGATGAGGTGCTGTTGACCCACAGGGCTTGGGCCTAATTGCAGTGGAGAAATAGTCTGGAACCTACCTGGTGAACATGCTAGGCACTACCATCACCTCCACCCTTCCCCTGATCTATTGGCCTTACTAAGATGCACTGTAGCCCTGTCACAGGGACTGGCCCTATCACAAGGATTTTCAGATGGGGAAACTATCTCCTCAGTTGGGTGAAGAATATGGGACTGTTTGAAGGAATGCTCCTCTGGTCTGGAATCGGTTTGGAAGGCCTTCTGTTCATCTTTGTTGTGTGTGTTTGTATTTGTGGATGGTATCTCTGAAGAAATTGCTGATGAAAGTCCAGCAGGCTTAACTCAGAGAAGCCTCCTTATTTGTCTGGTCACATTTGGTAAGCCCTGAAGCAATTGTTAGTGGAAGTCAACAGGCCTGACTAGGGGTGATTATCCCCTCTTCAAATTGCCCTACACTACCCATTGAATTCTCAGTCAGAGGTCCCTCCTCACTTTGAATGGATCAAAGAAAACAGGGAGCAAAGGAAATTGGTCAATATTGGGTGTTCAGCAAGGTGACTAATGTCTGTCCCTTTTGTTATGTGTATTTTGTGACAGCTGGGATGGAAAATGTTAATTTGGTTCCCCCAATGAGGTTTCCCCATGCAGCCCATTGGGTGGCATCTTGCAAAATTAAGAGGCTTTTGCCTAAGGCTCCATGAAATGGAAAAAGGTGATTTTCCTTTGTGACTATAGTGCAGTGAGCAGGGTCGCCAGGGCCCCAAGGGAAAGGGAACTTGGAAAACTGGCATGCCAGCAAAAGAAATAGAATGAATTTCTTACCAATCAGGCTTCTGGCTCCTCTCTCTCTTTGTGCAAACCAGTTGAGTGATCTGTAAAAATCACTGTTTATTAATGAGAAAAAGGATTTGTGAGGCAAGTCTGAGACTGTAGTGAATCTGGTGTACCTTGCACTATGAATTAGTCTTTCTATGCCATTCTGTCATAAAGAGGGGTACCGCAGAATAGAATGTGTATTTAGGACCCCTATCAGCTTGCTACTCAAGCCAGCCCGGCAGGTTCGTCAGTTACAAACTATGCTACAGATCCCTGGAGCAAAAACTAGATAAAGGTTTCTTCTTGTCTTGCTTTACATCCTTGAGAGCATGACTTTATGACTATGTGGGGTACTCTCTTTTGGGCCTGTACCATCTGGAGGGCTGGAATATTTGAGTTTATGTCAGGTAGCCAGTCTGAGAGGACAAGCGGTCTGAGATGAATCAGCATGTTCTTCATCCTGAATATGCCAAGCCCCTGGGTGAGCTTTGTCTTAAAAGTCCTCATCTTTGTTGGGATTTTATCATCTTTTGCTATCTTAAGCCCATTTCTGAAAGTAAATTCTTGGGAATCATGGGGATCATGGGGATTATGGAGATATCTCCTCTACTCTCTTTCTGGAAACACCTTTTGCTGATATGGTAAAAGCCTGGAAATTTGAGATCTAGACTTTACCAGACTTTTTGAATTGAGTCGCTATTGGAACTGAGGATACCATTAAAAGAAAAAGGTTAAATTAAAAGAAGGATCCATAATAATAACATGGTTCCTGAGCAGTTAAAATCCTTTGCAAGCTTGAAAATGTTCAAGACTCCCTCAGGGAAGAATAACAGCAGTCACCTTTGCTCTGGGTCAGTTGCTAACTCTTTACCCTCTCCAATTGGTGGCCTGGGTTCAGTTTTGGCTTTGGAGTGAGTCCTTTGAGGTTTAATACTTGTAGAAATTTTGCCATTTATTGATATTTTTTCCCTCCATGGAGAGCTTCTGGTCTTGAATTTTCTTTTATCTGAACTACCTTTGGGGAGATTCTAGATCTTGTAAAAATCACTTACCATTTCTTTGGAGACGCCTCGTGTGCCTGTTGCTAAGCTGTCCCCTTAGTAATGGCTTATTGATTTCACATAGGAGGTTACCTTTAGTAAAAAAGATTCAAGGCCAGGCGCACTGGCTCACGCCTGTAATCCCAGCACTTTGGGAGGCTGAGTTGGTCAGATCACCAGGTCAGGAGATCGAGACCATCCTGGCTAACATGGTGAAACCCCATCTCTACTAAAAATACAAAAAATTAGCAGGGCTTTGTGGCATGCACCTGTAGTCCCAGGTATTTGGGAGGCTGAGGCAGGAGAATCGCTTGAACCGGGGAAGCGGAGGTTGCAGTGAGCCGAGATCACATCACTGCACTCCAGCCTGGGTGACAGAGCAAGACTCTGTCTCAGAAAACAACAACAACGAAAGATTCAAATGCCAGAAATATTGGCTATTTATCCTGGCTAAAATAAAATATTTTAAAAGGATTTTTCTTTGGAGAGCTCCATAGATAATGGAGCTATATGCATGCAGATGTTGTTTTAAAGTCCCTGCCCTGCCTTTAAACACTTCTCAGTTGATGGAACTCTGTCTTGATTCTCTGTTTCTGTCTGTGTGTGTATCTACATGTATATATGTAGTGTTTATTTAAAAGAGCTCTAATGAATTGGCTTAATGAATAATAAGCGCTTAGATCAAATTTCAGAAAGAAACTTTAACATGTTTTAGGTCATGTGACTGATAATCTTTGAAAAATAAAGACAGTTAAAAGATTACTGGTAAACTAAAATAAAAATGTTTTTAAAGTTTATACATTTGGTGTAAATTAGGCAGGTCAGATATGGTTTGCTAGATGCTTTAAGGTAATAAACGGCTTCTATGACTTTTAATAATTGTTGATTTGTCTGTTTTACAGTCATTAGATTCTAAATAAGGTCTGGAGACATACAGAGTTAGCCAGATTCCCTGGCTAGGCTGGGAAGAGTCAGACATTGTATGCAGCTTTGTCTTTGTCATGGGCTCTGCAATGTTATACGTGGTTAAAATTGCTTGCTTACCAGGTTTTTTACCAAAACTAAAAGTTGCTAAGGGTTAACAGCATAGCATGTACTTGAGACTACTGGAAAAACAATTTTACATTCATGTTGTGAAAGGAAAGTAGAATTTGTTTTTGGTAAGAGGTTATAAGAAGGCATGGGAATTTTTGTTGTTGTTGTTAAAGGGCATGTAATTTTGTCTAGCTCAGAAGTTTAAAAAAAAATTTCTTAAAAGAGTAATGGGACAAAACAAATTTGAAGCAAGTTGCAAAGGGTTTGTGAAGGATTGATCTTGTAAATGAAGTTCTGTGGGTGTTAACAAATGGCTAAAATTTGAAGGAGATGATCTAGTTTTTCTGTAGGTTAAACATTAAAATAAAGTACACTAATGGTGGGCAAGAATCTGTGCCCATGTGTCTGAATAACATGTTTTTCTTAGAGAATGGACCTGCTGTTTAAGAGAAAATTGTAAAGAGTTATAAGAGGTTTCTGAAAATTTTACCTCATGGTCAAACTGATTAAGATGGTATAGATTTGTTTGTAAGATTTTATTAATAATTGGGTTTAACATCTATAAGACATGAATGCAAAGGTGAGATTTTGTGCTCTCTTTTAAACAATATTTTAGTGTATTATGAAAATATTATAAAAGATTTTTGTATGCCTTTTGAATAAACGACAGAAATTAGAGGGGGGAGAGAGAAGACATCCAGTTGTTTTCAAGCTGTCTTTATTGAGTCCTGTTTGGAAAGCTGAATCTCCCCTCTATCAGCAAGTAAAGAATTTTGCTTTTAAAATTTTCTTTAGTTATCCTTTTGGGCTAAATAAATGACTTACAGTTACTTGGGATTTGTTTTGTAATATCAAGTGTTTAAACATTTGATATTTGACAAACTTTCCATGGTCAAATTGTAAATTAAGCCCTTTTTTGATCTAATCAGGCTTTAGGAGCAGATATTAAATACTCTAAAGTCCAAAAGAGATATATTTGGCTTATTTGGTATATCAAAATCATACAGGAAGCATTGTCAAGTAGAAAATTGTGTTTGGCTTTCTTCTTTGGGCTGTATTTGCATAAATGTGTTATTGGTGTGTGTTCCAGAATTGTGTGAGATTCTTGTAATTCTGATATGTCTCAGTATATGTTTTTAGTAATAATTATGATTGTTATGTTATTATGTGCCACAGAGATGACCAGACTTTAATCATGGCTGTTTTGAGACTTTTTTCAGCCACAGTTGTTTTATTTTGATTTTTTTCAGGTTGGTTTTATAATCAGCTATAGGACTCTGACGGGTGCACTTGAATGCAGGTTTGTGATAACTTTGGAGATTGTGACATTAAAATAGAAGAAAGAACTTCCAAGACTCCCATAGGGAGCTAATGTGTATGAATATCAAGCAGAACAGGAATTAATTACATAGACTGAATTAATGAAAAACCAAAATAATCTTCCTACGAATTTGTTTAAAACATTGCTAATTTTTTTTTTTTGTTTTGGAGTCCAGCAAACCTTTTTTTTTTCTTGTGAGATATCTACAGCTTTAAATAATTTGGTAAAGTACCCTCCTGTGAGCAAAATCTGAAGCATATTTCTCTCTCCCTGATTTCTCCAGAACTTGAAAACTATTTCCAAGTGTACTTAATTTATGACAGGTATAGTTATTTGCATAAGTTCGATAAGAATCTTTTTTCTTTTGTAACAGGAAAAAATTGGAGACACTGGTTATTTTACCATGGCATTGAATGAAATGGCATACTTTTAGATTCTTTTAAGGAGTCAAAGTTGACTTATAGAGCCAATAAAAGTCCCTTGGGAAAACTGACCTCGTAACTTGTCTACACAGTCCCTGTTTAGGGGTCCTGCCATGTGGTAAGTAAAGAATGTCACTTCCTGACAGGCCCAAAAAGCCGAAATTATCTTGGCACCTTGAGGTGAGAAATTCACCCAATTAATACAGTTATTTGTAAGCATAGATAAATCTGTGGCTACACTTAAAGGCTTTAAAAAAGTTTAATCTAAGATTTCCTATGGAATAAAATTCCAGCAATGCGAATTTAAAAAGGGACTGTGTGGTAAATAATTATTCTTGCTGACTTTATGCAAATACTCAGGCCAAGTATAGTAAGACTAAAACTTATTTTACAAATAAAGTAGTCTTGCTGTGATTTGTTTTTAGTAAAAACAAGGATTGGAGAGAGAAAAATTATATTTCAGAAAAAACTATAGTACACCTCTTATTACATTCTAGTCCCCTATTTTGAGTTTTTATAATTTTCTGCAACTTGGAATGAATACTAAATTCTTTCCAGACTACAAGTCTCCATACTAATGCTTTCAAAGTTTTGTTTCCTTTTTCTTTTTTGACTTGGCCTCAATAAAATTGTCACTACCTCTTTCCTGAGGCCCTGTAAGTTAAAGCTTATTGCTTGTAATACAGGAGAGAGAAAAATGTGTCAGATTGTTACTACTGTCCTCCTCTATACCTAAAGATGCTTTAAATCTAACACCTGGATAAATTGTACCCAACATTAACCTTTGTTTTTCTTCTGTCTCTATAAAACTGCCTCTTATTAAAATTAGTTTGCCTTCATAAAATAGAGAGGTCTAGCCAATCTGAAGTGCTACCTCCTCATGTGGGAAACAGCTGTTTAACTGAGCTGATCTAGTCTCGGGACTTAGACACTGACTCAAAAGATATTCAACTATACCGAAGATGGTATATTTAATTTGCTCTTTCCTGTTTATCCCAATCTGTCTTTCTAACAACCTATGGTTTGTTGTTCACTTAAGTGCTGTATTAGAACTGTGGGTGAGAATATTAATGTTTTTGTCATACACCAGTGAGTACACGCAGATGGCTGCAAAGCAGCGGTTTTACTCATATTCTCCTGGGACCAACCTCCCCCAATTGTACCACCCGTCAGCAGGAAGAAGCCAGAGTAGTCATTGCTGTTTTTCCATCTCTGTGACCAACATCTTAAGAATAAGGTGAATAAAAGCCAAAGGGGGATTGAAACAACCTTTGCAAAAAATATATCAGTGAGAAAATTTTGACTATGAGGAACTATATGCCAAAAAATTGGAAAATCTGTAAGAAATGGATAAATTTCTGGGCACATGCCATCTACCAAGATTAAACCATGAAGAACTCTAAAACCTGAACAAACCAATAACAAAAAATGAGATCAAAACTGTAATAAAAATTCTCCCAGGATATAAAAGCCCAAGACCTGATGGCTTCACTACTGAATTGTACCAGAAATTTAAAGAACTAAATCCAAGCCTGCTCAAACTATCCCTAAAAATAGAGGATGAGAAAATACTTCCAAACTCATTCTACGAATCTAATATTAGCATGATAACAAAGCCAGTCAAAGACATGTTAAAGTAAAACAAAACAACAGGCCCCAATGTCTCTGATGAATATTGATGTAAAAACCTTAACAAAAAATTAGCAAACTGAATTAAACAATACACTAAAAAGATTATTTATCATGACCAAGAAGTCTTTATTCCTATTACACAAGGATGGTTCAGCATAAGCAAATCAATCATATCAATAGAATGAAAGAAAAAAAAACTATGATTATTTCAATTGAAGTCAAAATAATTACATTCAATACCCCTTAATGAGAAAAACTCTGAAAAACTGAACACACTACCACATAATAAAAGCCATATATGACAGACCCACAGCTAGTATATCACGCTGAATAGTAAAATAATAAAAGCCTTTCCTCTAAGATTTGCAACATGATAAGGATGCCCATTTTCACCACTGTTATTCAATATAATACTGGAATTCCTAACTAGAGCAATCAGACAAGAGAAATACATAAAGTACATTTAAATTGGAAAGGAAGAAGTCAAATTATCTTTTTTTGCTGATGACATAATTCCATATTGGGAAAAAACTAAAGAGTGCAAAAAAACCATTAGAACTGATAAAAAAAATTAGTAAACTTGCACGATATGAAATAAAAATACAATAATCAGTAGCATTTCTATATCCCAACAGTGAATAAACTGAAATTGAAATTAAAAAGTAGTCAAATTAATAATAGCCACACACAAAAGTAAATACCTAAGAATTAACATAACCAAAGAAGTAAAAGATCGCTATAATAAAAAACTATAAAACACTGACAAAAAAAATTTCAGAGAACACCAAAAAAGGTAAAATATTCCATGTTCATGAATTAGAAAAATTAATATTTTTTAAATGTCCATATTACACAAAGCCACTACAGATTTAATGTAATCCCTATCAAAATACCAATGACATTCTTTATAGCAATAGAAAAAAGAATCCTAAAATTCATATGGGACCACAAAAGACCCAGAATAGCCACAGTTATCTTAGGCAAAAAGAACAAAACCAGAGGAATTATATTACCTGCCTTCAAATTATGTTACAGAGCTATAGTAACCAAACAGCATAAACCTGACATAAAAACAGACACATAGACCAAAGGAACAGAATTGAGAACCTACAAACAAATCCAAACACATACAGTGAACTCATTTTCTCCAAAAATGCTGAGAACATACACTGGGGAAAAGACAGTCTCTTCAATAAATAGTGCTGGGAAAACTGGATATTCACATGCTGAAGAATGAGACTAGATCCCTATCTCTCACCATATACAAAAATTAAATCTAAATGGATTAAAGACTTAAATCTAAGACCTCAAACTGTGAAACCATTAAAAGAAAAGTATTAAAAGGAAACATTTGAAAAATGCTCAACATCAATCCAGGCAAAGTTTTCTGTAATACCCCACAAGAACAGGCAATGAAAGCAAAAATGTACAAATGGAATCATATCCAGTTAAGAAGCTTCTGCACAGCAAATAAAACAATCAACAAAGTGAAGAGACAACCCACAGAATGGAAGAAAATATTTGCAAATTACCCCCCAGACAAGGTCTTAACAAGCAGAACATTTAAGGAGCTCAGCTCAAACAACTGTATTAAAAAAAACAAAACACTAATAATTTAATCAAAAAATGGACACAAAATGTGAATATACATTTCTCAAAAGATGACATGCAAATGGCAAGCAGGCATATGAAAGTGTGCACAATATCATTGATTATCAGATAAATGCAAATAAAACTACAATGAGATATCATCTCGCCCCAGTTAAAATGGCTTTTATCTAAAAGACAGGCAATAACAAAAACTGGAGAGGGTGTGGAGAAAAGGGAACCGCCATGCACTATTTGTGGGAATGTAAATTAGTACAACCACTATAGAGAACAGTTTGGAGGGTCCTCACAAAACTAAAAATAGAGCTACTATATGATTCAACAATTCTACTGCTTGGTATATACCCCAAAGTACAGAAATTGGATATCTCCACCCCTTTTTTGACAACTCTGTTCACAATAGACAAGATTTGGAAACAACCTAGGTGTTCCTCAACAGATAAATGGATAAAGAAAATATAAAATTTATACACAATGTAGTACTATTCATTCACATAAAAAATGAGATTCAGTCATTTGCAACAACATGGATAGAACTGGAGGTTATCATATTAAGTGAAATAAGCCAAGCACAATAAGATCAGCATTGCATGTTCTCAATTATTTGTGAGATCTGAAAATTAAAACAATTGAACTCATGGAGATAGAGTGTAGGATATGATTACCAGAGGCTGGGAAGCATAGTAGAGAAAGTGAGTGGGTGGCAGGGATGGTTAATCATTCCAAAAAGTAGTTAGAATAAATGGATAATACCTAATATTTGATAGTAAAACAGGATGACTATAGTCAATAATAATTTAACTGTACATTAAAAAATAACTAAAAGAATATAATTAGATTGTTTATAACATGAAGGATAAATGCTTGAGGGGATGGATAACCCATATTTCATGGTGTGATTGTTACACTTTGCAAGCCTGTATCAAAAAATCTTATGTCCTCTGATATGGCTTGGCTGTGTCCACACCCAAGTCTCACCTTGAATTGTAGCTCCCATAATCCCCATGTGTTGTGGGAGGGACCCAGTGGAGATAATTACATCACGGTGGCAGGTTTTTCTTGTGCTGTTTTTATGGTAGTAAATAAGTCTCAAGAGATCTGATGGTTTTCAAAAGGGCAGTTCCCCTGCACATGCTCTCTTGCCTGCTGCCATGTAAGGCATGCCTTTTTTCTTCTGCCATGATTGTGAGGCCTTCCCAGCCATGTGGAACTGTGAGTTCATTAAACTTCTTTTTCTTTTTAAATTACCCAGTTTTGGGTATTTCTTCATAGCAGTAAGAAAATGGACTAATGTAGCAAATTGGTACCAGGATTAGGGCACTGTTATTATATTAAGATACCCGAAAATGTGGAAGTGACTTTGGAACTGGGTAACAGGCAGAGATTGGAACAGTTTGTAGGGCTCAGAAGACAGGAAGATGTGGGAAAGTTTCAACGTTCCTAGAGACTTGTTGAATGGTGTTGACCAAAAAGTTCAGGCTGAGGTGGTCCCAGAAGGAGATGAGGAAGTTATTGAGAACTGGAGCAAAGGTGATTATTGCTATGCTTTAGCAAACAGATTGGTAGCGTTTTTCCCCTGCCCTAGATATCTGTGGAACTTTGAACATGAGAGAGATGATTTAGGGTATCTGGCAGAATAAATTTCTAAGCAGTAAAGCATTCAAGAGGTAACTTGGGTGCTCTTAAATGCATTCAGTTTTATTCATTCACAAAGAAATGGTTTGAAGTTGGAACTTATGTTTAAAATGGGAGCAGAGCATAAAAGTTTGGAAAATTTGCAGCCTGATGATGTAATAGAAAAGAAAAACCCATTTTCTGAGGAAAAATTCAAAGCTGGCTGGAGAAAATTTCATAAGTATTGAGAAGCCAAATATTAATCACCAAAACAGTAGGAAAACTTTCTCCAGGACATGTCAGAGGTCCTCATGGCAGCACCTACAGTCACAAGCTGGGGGTGTCTAGGAGGAAAAAAATTGTTTTGTGGGCCAGATCCAGGGTTTTGCTGCTTTGTGCAGTCTTGGGACCTGGTGCCCTGCATTACAGCCATGGCTAAAGGGGGCCAATGTACACCTCAAGACATTGTTTCAGAGGGTTCAAGCCCCATACATTGGTGTCTTACATGTGGTATTGGGCCTGTGGGTGCACAGAAGTCAAGAACTGGGAATCTCCACCTAAATTTTGGAGGATGTATGGAAATTGCTGGGTGTCCAGGCAGAGTTGTGCTGCAGGGGCAGAATCCTCACGGAGAACCTCTGCTAGGGCAGTGCAGAAGGGAAATGTGAGGTGGGAGTCCCCACACAGAATCCCCACTGAGGCACTGCCTAGTGGAGTGATGAGAAAAGAGCCACCATCCTCCAGACCCCAGAATGGTAGATCCAATCACAGCTTGCACCATGCACCTGAAAAAGCCACAGACACTCAATGCCAGCCTGTGAAAGCAGCCAGGAGTGAGGCTGTACTCTGCAAAGCCACAGGGGCAGAGCTGCCCAAGACCACGAGAACCCACCTCTTGCATCAGTGTGACCTGGATGTGAAACATGCAGTCAAAGGTGATCATTTTGGAGCTTTAATATTTGACCACCTCACTGGATTTCACATTTTCATGAGGCCTGTAGTCTCTTCATTTTGGCCAATTTCTCCCATTTGGAATAGGCATATTTACCCAATGCCTGTACCTCCATTGTATCTAGGAAGTAACTAACTTGCTTTTGATTTTACAGGCTCATAGGTGGAAGGGA
The DNA here is from genome assembly GCF_000001405.40 of Homo sapiens. NCBI lineage: Eukaryota > Metazoa > Chordata > Mammalia > Primates > Hominidae > Homo > Homo sapiens. The sequence goes on from NC_000024.10 coordinate 5,720,152, forward strand.
GTTGCCTTGTCTCAGATGAGACTTTGGACCGTGAACTTTTGAGTTATTGCTGAATCAAGACTTTGGGGAACTGTTGAGAAGGAATGATTTGTTTTGAAATGTGAGGACATGAGATTTGGGAGTTGCCAGGGGCAGAATGGTGTGGTTTGCCTGTGTCCCCACTCAAATTTCATCTTGAATTGAAGCTCCCATAATCTCCACGTGTTGTGGGAGGGAACCAGTGAGGGGTAATTGAATCATCAGGGTGGGTTTTTCCCATGCTATTCTTGTGATAGTGAATAAGTCTCAAGAGATGAAAGAAAGAAAGAAAGAACAATGATGTGAAATAATTAAAACGCTAATACATTGCTGATGGGAATGTAAAATGGCGTAGCTACTAAGGAAAATGGTATGGTGATTCATAAAAAAAAAAAAAAATATTAAACATAAAATTACCATATGACCCAACCATTCTACTCTGGGTATATACTCAAAAGTAGTTGAAATAGAGATTCAAACAGGTATCAGTACCCATATTCATAGCTGCATTATTCACAGCAGCCAAAAGTTGGAAGCAACCTAAGAGTTTATCCTAAGAGCAAACAGCAAATGGAGAAGCACTTATTCTAGAAAATCTACTAATATTCTGCAAGAATAGTGAGAGCCTGTGGCATTTGAATCATAATCCATATCTCGCCACACAATTTAGTGTGACAAAAGCTTCATCCCTTCCAGGGTCATTCAAAAATGCAGAACTCCTTTTCCCTCCAACTCCAAGTCTAGGGTTAAGGTATCTTCCACTGAGGCACAGGCTTCCAGGATTTCTAATTTCTAACAGGTCTGTGTTGCAGAAGCTCTATTATAGGTTAAGAACACTGTGCCTAGTTGCCCATACTCCAATTCACTTATAGAGTAGAAATCCCATGCTGGGTTAGGCATGTTAAGAAGACCAGAGGATACTTCACCTGTCTGCTAAAAAGCAGGGTTATACATCTAAAAGAAGCAGGCTACTGTCCTCATTTTTATCGTGAGAGCAGTGGCACACATATATTGCCCAGGGGATGATAAATACAGAGAGCTCCAAAGCTATCCTCAAGAGAAGGGACTCATTTGGAGCAAAGTATGGGGGAAGTTCAAGCTAAGGGAGTTGTCAAAAACAGTGGAGATTTTGCTGGTAAGGCAATAAGAAGAAGCTGATAGCTCCATGAGACAAAAAAATAAAAATTACATTAAAATTTAAAAGACTGTAGATTAGCTGTAGGTTTAGCAGAGACAACCAGGAAAAAGTGCAGAGAAAAAGCCCGCTTGGGTCAGAACCAACATCCAAATGTTGCCTTAAAGACTACCCCTGCAAAGGGGCTCACATTTGATTGTATCAGACTGCTGAGCAATTTATGCCTTAGGACATTGCCAAAAACAATCAAGCAATCAGCCAGTAATGAGTGGAGCCTAACTGGCTGAGAACGGATACCAAATGAAGCAAGTAGTTTAGCTGAAAAATCAGGGAAAGAGACTGTCAAATAAACCTTAGCTAAAATTACTGACATCTCAGTGTATGTCCATATTTAAGGCCGTACCCTCTGATGCATGACATCAGAGGTAACACATTCAATGGGATATAGACTTCGCCAAATATTCTAGCCAAGTAACAAAACAAGCAAATAAACAACAACAAAATCAAGTCCCAGAGAGGGTAGTGGTATCAGTATTCACAATTGATGCAATATATAATCTAAAATGTCTAGTTTTTGATAAAATTATGAGGTATTCTGTGACAAAATTATGAGTTACACTGTGAGCTCTACATGAAAAAAAGCAAGCAACAAAAACTAACTGTGAGAGGGCTCTGTTGTCAGATTTAACAGATAATAACTACAAAGAAGCCATTATAATCATATTCAAAGATTTAAAAGAAACTCTGCTTAAATAAGTAAAGGAAGGTAAAATGCCAATATTTTATCAAATACAGAGTATCAATAACGAAATAAAAAGCACAAAAATACCAAATGGAAACTCTGGAGTTGAAAAGTACAGTTATCAATATGTAAAATTGACTAGAGTGATTCAACAGTGCATTTGAACCAATAGAAGAATGAATCAGAACACTCGAATTTAGGTTGATAGATATTATGCAATCTAAAGAAAAAGAGAGAAAAAAGAACAAAGAAAAAGGCATATATTCAGATCTTATTTTTTATTCTATCTGACAATGTTTGCCTTGTTTTTTGTTGTTTAATCTATTCACTTCATTGAAGTAAAAAAGAAATAAAGAACAATTATGAGGAAAGTGGGTATCAGAAAGAAAGAAGAAAAAGGAGTGGAAATAATACTAGAAGAAATAATGTTATTAAATTTCTCAATTTGATAAAAGTCATATATACACAATAAATTTAATGAAGTCTGATAAACACAGAGATCCACATGGACACATTTCAGTAAAAATACTGAAAGATAAAGAAAATAAGAAAATTTTGGAGGGAAAAAAAAGACTTTCAGTGGATACCAGAAGGCAAGAAGGCAGTGAAATAACAAAGAGTCGTAAGAAAAAAAAAAGGTAAGAAATAATTTTTTATCCAGCAAAATATTGGTCAGAAATGAAAGTGAAATACAAACCTTCCTAGATAAACAAATATTGAGACAATTTATTGCTAGCATATCCATGTTACATAAAATACTAAAGGAAATTCTTCAGACTGAAAGTCAGAGACTCAAGATAGTAATTTGAAACCACATTAAAAAACACAATATTGGCAGTAAAAGCAATTATGTAGGTAAACGTAAAAGACAGTATAATTTTGTTTTTTCTTTTTTCTCCTCTTAATGAATTTGAAAAACCCTTGTATAAGACAAGACAAGACATATGCATCTATATATAAACAATTGTATAAGATATATACATATATAATTATATATACACAATTATATATCATTTTGTTCAGTCTATAACATATAGAAATTCATATACAATAATAATACATAATTACAACATTAGCACAAAGATAGGTAGAAGCAAAGTATTGGAGTAAGGAAATGATGCCAGATTATAACTAGAATTCACAGGAAAAGAAATAAAAGAACAAAATTGTAAAATAGGAAGGTTAAAAAAATATAATTTATAATTATGTACTACTCCCCTTTTATCAGCTTCATTAAAAATACATAAATTAATAATTATGGCAATGTAGTTATTGAATTTTTTACATATATATGTTACAGAAAAGTAAATAGTAAATATAGGTATATAGGAGTAATATCTCTATGTCCCATGGAATTAACTTACATTAAGTCAAAAACAACTATGATAAATTAAGTTTCAAGCACTAGACACTAAGAGAATAACACTCATACACACATACACACACATATACATACCCGCACATGTATAGTGAAAAATATCATAAAAAGCATTAAAATATTACACTAGAATGTATTCACCTAATGCAAAAGAAAGCTGCAAGGAGAAATGGGGAAACCATGAAACACATAGAAAATAAAAAGAAAAATGACGGATATCAGTTCATGATATTAATAACAAAGTAAATGGATTAAACAACATAAAACAAGGCCAACAGTGTCAGAATACAAAATAAGATCTGAATATATGCCTACAGTATGAACAACCCAGATTCAATGCATTGAATGTAAAATTACGGAAAATCATTATACTATGTAAGTAAGAATCATGAGAAAGCTGAAGTGACTACACTAATATCCGGCAATAAAAGACTTTAAAATATGTTACCAGAAATAAAGAGGAACATTTTATCATGAAAAAATGGCCAAACTATCAGAAAAACATAATAACTACAAACATACATGCACCTAACTCCAGTGCCACCAAATTCATGGAGCAAATTTGACAGAATTGAAGAGAGAAATAGACACTTCAATAATAGTTAGATATTTCTATATTTCTTTTTCAATAATGGAACAACTAGGCAGTAGATCAATAAAAAGAAGACTCAAACAGCACTCTAGCCCAACTAGAACCAGCAGACATGTATCTGACTACAAGAGCAGAATACATATACTATGAAACTGCACAGGCATGATTTTCCAGGATAGACTATATGGTAGGCTATAAAAGAAGCCTCAATAATTTGAAAAGATTGAACTCATCCAGAATATGTCTTTTTATCAAAACAAAAGAACATTAGAAATGAATAACAAAAGAAATTTGGAAAATTAACAAATATTTAGAAATTAAACAAGATCTTCCTAAGTAATAAATTGGTTAAAGAAGAAACAACAAGAGAAATTCCAAAACATTTAATGGTGAAATACTCAATGCTTTTCCCATAAGATCAGAAGCAAGACATAGGATGTCCATACTTACCACTTCTATTAAACATTAAACATTGTACTAGAGGTTTTACCACAAGTAACTAGGCAAAATAAATAAATAAATAAAAGATACTAAAACATCCAGATTGCAAAGAAAGAAGTAGAATTATCTCTATTTGAAGATGATATGAGTTTCTTATACAGAAAATCTTATGAAATCTATTAAAAACTTGTTAAAACTAATACTTCAGCAGTGCTTCAAGGTATAAGAGCAATATATTAAAAATTGAGTGTATTTCTATATTCTAGCATTAAACATTTCTTAAAAAATTAAGAGAATCTCATTTACAGTAGAATAAAATGAAATAAAATGCTGAGAAATAAATTTAACAAAAGTCCTTCTTATCTTCTAAAAATTCTAAACTATTGGTGAAAGAAATTAACAATCTAAATAAGTGAAAAGACATCCCATGTCCTTAATTTGTAAGACAATATTATAAGATGCAATCCTTCACAAATTGATCTTCAGATTCGACACAATTCAACTTGAATTTTGCAGAAATAAGACGCTAATCTGGAGCTGGGTGCAGTGGCTGACGCCTGTAATCCCAGCACTTTGGGAGGCCGAGGCGGGCGGATCACCTGAGGTTGGGAGTTCGAGACCACCCTGACCAACATGGAGAAACCTCGTCTCTACTAAAAATTAGCTGGGTGTAGTGGCACATGCCTGTAATGCCAGCTGCTTGGGAGGCTGAGGCAGGAGAATTGATTGAACCCAGGAGGCAGAGGTTGCAGTGAGCCGGAGATCGTGCCATTGCACTCCAGCCTGGGCAACAAGAGGGAAATTCCGTCTCAAAAAAAAAAAAAAAGACGCTAATCCTAAAACCATGGGAATTTAAGAGAACTAGATTAGCCAAAATAATTGTGAAAAATAAGAACAAAGTTGGATAACTAAGCCTTTTCCATTTTAAAACTTTCCTCAAACCAATAGCAATCAATGGACAATTGATTTTCAGCCAATTAAAGTCAATAAATAATAAATAGTCTTTCCACAAGTGGCATTGGGATTGCTGGATATCCACATGCAAAAGGATAATTTTTAGATACCTTCCTTACAAAATGCATAGAAATAACCACTCCAAATGGATCATTGACCTTAATATGAGAACAGAAGCTATAAAACTATTAGAAATCACAGGAGCAAACCTTTATGACTTTGCATTAAGCAAAGTTTTCTTAGATCTGACACTAAAAGTACAAGCAACAACAAAAAAATACATTATACCTCATCAACTTCAAAACTTCTGTACGTCAAAGGATATCATCGAGAAAGTGAAAAGACAAACCACAGAATGTGAGAAAATATTTGTAAATTGTATATCTTATAAGAGTCTTATATTTAGACCATAAAAAGAACTTGTAAAATCCAACAATAGTAATGCAAAAGATATACTTTTTAAATGGGTAAAAAATACAAATAGACATATTTTTCCAAAGAATATAAACAAATTACTAGTAAGTATATCAAAAAATATTTAACTTCATTAGCAGTTAGGGATATGCAAATCTAAATCACAATGAGATAGCACTTCTTACTCCTAAGATTGCTGTAATAAAAAAGACAAATAATAACGAATCTTGGTAAGTGCGTAAAGAAATGGGAACATTCATGCATTTCTGATGTTTCTGTAAAATAGTGCACCCAATTTGGAAAACAATTTGGCAGTTCCTCAAATGGTAAACAGAGTTGGTGTAAGACCCAGCACACAAACTTTTACATAAATGTTAATAAAAGCATTGTTCATGATAGCCAAAAGATAAAAACAACCCAAATGTCCATGATCCGATGAATGGATAAATAAGAAGTAGCATATCCTTATAAAAGATAATCTTGGGTAATAAAAAAAGAACTGAAGTACTGATACATACTACAACATGAATGAAATTCGAAAGCATTATGCTAAATACAACAGACCACTTACCCAACTGTCCGAATAAAGGATTGCATTTCTATTATTTGTACAGTATAGGCAAATCTATTGAGACAGAAAGTAGATTAGAGATTGCTTAGGGCTCTGGAGTTTGACAGGAAATGGGCAGTGGCTGCTAATAGTTTCTTTTTGAAGTGATAAAGATGTCCCAGAATTGAGATGGTTGCACAATGCTGTGAATATACTAAAAACCACTGAATTTCTCATGTTAAATGGGTGAATTTTAAGATATAAATTACATCTCACGAAAATTGTTAAAAAGGAATAATTATAAATTATATCATTTTCCAGTGAAAATGACTTTGCATCAATTTCTTCATCACAAATAGGCTACAATCTCGATATTGAAACTATGATGTATTATTTTTTGTGAAATTTCAGGCTGCCAGATAAATGGCTTTTCTGATGACCAGGAAATTAAATTTTGTTTGAAAGTAAAGTTATATGTGTGTTCATGTATTTTCATGCCTGCAATTATGGTTTAATATTATCTGAAATATATAAAACTATATTCCCAACTATTTCTCAAATATAATTGTGCAAAAAATATAGAACATTTTAAACGTTAATCTCCTAGGGACACGTTTATTTTAAGTGAGCTCTAAATAAAGAAAGATAAATGGTTATCTAATGCGGAGCTATTAGTCTTACTATAACTTATTTTACATCCTATTCTTTGGTACTAAGCATGATAGGGTAATGACAGTCACTGGACTCTATAACAAATTGAATCTCTATTTTTATTTTTTAAAATTATGTACAAAAACTTGAATTGCCATTATCACTCAGCAAGCACACATGTTCAGAGAGAAGAAAAAGAGAATTTTTTTTTTCTTTTCTGGAGACCTAAGTGTGAAAACAAATTATACTAATCATTTATAAAGTTATTTGAAATTAACTAGTGGTTGCAACCCAAAGTTAAGAAAATAGTGAAGATTATATGGACAGTTTCTTTCTCTAAAAATAACCAAATTCTTCCTTCCTGTTCTGCTCTTCTCTTAATACCATGCACCTGAACAAAAATCATTATGTCATTTTTCTAGCTTTGTGAAGGTAGAAAATGTATGAGGCTAAGTGTCTTAGAAAACCTTTGTATTATCGTTTATCCTATGGTTTCTGTAAATAAATGATATTCTTATCTTTTTAAATATTTCCACACATTATTTTCAAAATTATGTTTTGAATTTGATAACTTTGTATTAAAAATATTTCAAGCAGTGAGTCCACAAAGAAGCATGTATTATTTGGATGCAATACTATTTAATTTGATTAGGATATTTTTCTGGAAAAAATAATTCTGAATTGAATAAAGGAGGCAAAAGATAATTTATAAAAAGTAAAATTTCTCAACAGTTGACATCACTCATTGCTGTTTTTTATATTTACGTACAATAAAATTCACTCATGTTCTATAGTTCTACCAGTTTTGACAAATGCATACAATCATGTATCTATCACCATTTTCATATAGAGAACACTTTCATTACTCCCAAAATTTATTTGTGCTGCTCTGCTAGTCAACATTACCTGAATTCCCAGCTCCTGGCGATCACCGGTATGTTTTTCATCCCTATAAGCTTGCCATTTCCAGAATGTTATATAATAGGAACCATACACGATGTAGACTGTTGATTATGGCTTCTTTCATTTAACAAAATTCATCTGAGATTCATCCATGTTGCTCTAAGAATCAATATGCTTCTTTTTATTGCTGAGTAGTATTTCAGTGTGTGGCTATGACACAGTTCATTCTTTTACCAGCTGAAAGACAGTAAGGGTCATTTCTACCTTTTGGTGATTATTAATAATGATGTTTAACTTGCACATAAAAATTTCTACGATAACATACGTTTTCAAATATTTTGCATAAATATGCAGGACTGGAATTGCTGGGTTTTTTTTCTGTTTTTGTTTTTCAAGTGTATGTTTAGCTGTATAGGAAGTTGACAAACTGTTATCTAAATTCTCTGTGCCATTCTGTGTCAGCAGCAGCATCAACTGAAGATTCTAGATGTTTGGAATACTTACCAGCACTTGGTATTTTTAGTTTGTTCTTTTAATCACTCAAATAGAATGGTATCTCTTTGCATTTTAAATTTGTGTTTCTTTAATGTCTGACTGTGCTGAGCCTCTAATTATATGCTTATCTGACATATTCATGTCTTCTTTGATAGTCTATACAGATATTTGCCAGTTTTTTAATTGAGTTCTTCATTTTCTTATTGTTGTTTTTTAGTTTTTTAAATTTCAACTATTATTTTTGATTCAGGGGGTACATGTGCAGATTTGTTACCTGGGTATATTGGGTGACGCTGAGGTTTGGGGTATGAATAATCTCATCATATTCATAGTTGTTCAACGCTTTCTCCCCTCTCTCCCTTCTAATACTCTTCAGTGTCTATTGTTGCTGTCTTTATTTCCATGAGTACCCAATGTTTAGCTTCCACTTATAAGGGAGAACATGCAATATTTGGCTTTCTGTTGCTGTGTTAATTTGCTTAGGATAATGGCCTCCAGCTGCACCCATGTTGCTGCAAATAACATAGTTTGTTCTTTTAAAGACTGCGTATATCCTATGGTATATGCGTGCTATATATAAGAAATCCAGTCCACCACTGATGGTCACCTAGGTTGACTCCATGTCTTTGCTATTGTGAACAGTGCTGTGTCAACATGCAAGTGCATGTGTCTTTTTGGTAGAACAATTTGTTTTCTTTTGGAGATAATACTCAGTAATGAGAGTTTCTGGGTTGAATGGTAATTCTGTTTTGTGTTCTTTGAGAAATCTTCAAAATGCTCTCCACAAAGGCTGAATTAATTTACATTCCCACCAATAGTGTATAAAAATTCTCTTTTCTCCTCAACTTTGTTAGCGTCTGTTGTTTTTTGGCTTTTTAATAATAGCTATTCTGACTGGTGTGAGATAGATTCTCATTGTGGTTTTGATTTGCATTTATCTGGTGAAGAATGATGAGGAATTTTTTTTATATGTTTGTTGGCCCCTTGTATGTCTTCTTTTGAGAAGTGTCTGTTTATATTTTTTGCCCACTTTTGAATGGAGGCTTTTGTTTTTTGCTTGTTGTTTGTTTATATTCTCTACAGTCTAGATAGTAGACCTTTGCTGAATGTATACTTTGGGAACATTTTCTCCCATTCTATAGGTTGTCTGTTCACCTGGTTGATAGCTTATTTTGCTTTGCAGAAGCTCTTTAGTTTAATTAGGTCCCATTTGTCAATTTTTGTTTTTGTTGCAATTGCTTTTAAGGATTCAGTCATAAATTCTTTGCAAAGGCTAATGTCCAGAATGGTGTTTCGTATGGTTCCTTCTAGAATTCTTACAGTTATTGGTCTCACATTTAAATCTTTAATTCATCTTAGGTTAATTTTTGTATATGGTGATAGGTAGGGGTCCAGTTTCATTCTTCTACATGTGGCTAGTCAACTGTCCCAGCACAATTTATTGAATAGAAAGTCCTTTCCCCACTGCTTAATTTTGTCAACTTTGTCAAATATTAGATGGCTGTAGGTGTGCAACTTTATTTCTGGGTTCTCTATTTCTGTTCCATTGGTCTATGTGTTTGCTTTTGCATCAGTCCCGTGCTCTTTTTGTTACTGTAGCCTTATAGTACAGTCTGAAATCAGATAATGTGATGCCTCCAGCTTTGTTCTTTTTGCTTAGGATTATTTTGGCTATTTGGCTTATTTTGTGGTTCCATATAAATTTTAGAACAGTTTTTTTTTTCAAATTCTGGAAAAATGACTTTGGTAGTTTGATAAGAAGAGTGTTGAATCTGTATTTTGCTTTGGATAGTATGGCCATTTTTATATTTATTCTTCTAATCCATGAGCATAGGATACTTTTTCATTTGTTTGTGTCATCTAATATTTCTTTTAGCAGTGTTTTGTAGTTCTTCTTGTACAAACAAGCCTCTTGCTGCCTTGGTTAGATTTATTCCTAGCTTTTTTTTTTGGCTATTGCAAATAAAATTCTATTCTTGATCCAGCACTCAGCTTTAATATATAGAAATTCTACTGATTTTTGCACATTGATTTTGTATGCTGAAACTTTGCTAAATCTTTTGTGTTCCAGGAGCCTTTCAATGTTCTTTAGGGTTTTCTACATATTGAATCCTACTGGCCATGAATCGACATAGGTTATCATCTTCTTTTCCTAATTAGATGCCTTTAGTTCTTTATCTTTCCTGATTTCTCTGTCTAGCACTTCCAGTACTGTGTTGAATAGGAGTACTGAAGATGGGCATCCTTGTCTTATTCTAGCTTTCAAAAGAATGCTTCTAGTTTTTGCCTGTTTAGTATGATGTTGGCTGTGGGTTTGTCATAGATGACTCATTACTTTAAGGTGTGTTCCTTCAGTGACTAATATATGAAAGTTTTTATCATGAAGAGATGCTGGATTTTATCAAAAGCTATTTCTGTGTCTATTGAGATGATCACATTTTTTTTAAATTTACTTCTGTTTATGCGGTGAATCACATTTATTGATTTGCATATGCTGTACCAATCTTGCATCCCAAGAATGAAACCTACTTGATCACAGTCTTCACGGTCAATTAATTTTTTGAAGTGCTGTTGGATTCAGTTTCCTAGTATATTTTTTTTGACAATTTTTGTGTCTTTGTTAATCAGAGATATTGGCCTATAATTTTCATTTTTTGTTGTGTCTTTGCCAGGTTTTTGTATCAGGATGATGCTGGCCTCATAGAAGGAGTTAGAGAGGAGTCCCTAACTACTAGAATTTTTTTTTAATAGTTTCAGTAGCATTGGTAACATCTCTTTTTTGTATGTCTGGTACAATTTGGCTCTGAATCCATCTGGTCTGGGTTTTGTTTTTGGTTTGTTTGTTTGGTAGTGTTTAAAATTACTGATACAATCTCAAAACTCAGCATTGATCTGTTCACGGTTTCAATCTCTTCCTGATTCAATCTTGGGCGATTGTGTGCTTCCAGCAATTTCTCAATTTCCTCTAAATTTTCTATTTTGTGTGCACAGAGGTGTTTATATTTTCTGAGGATCTTTTGAATTCCTGTGGGATCAGTTGCAATGCCACCTTTGTCTATTGTGACTGTGCTTATTTGGGTCATCTCCTGTTAATCTAGCTAGTAGCCTGTCAATCTTATTTATTTTTTTCAATAGTTTGTATGATTTCAATTTTTTTAATTTATTGAGACTATGCTTTATATATTCTGTATATACATGTATATTGGGTAGAGTATTCTGTGCATGTTTATTAGGTCCAACTGGTTAAGTGTCAAATTCAAGTCCAGAATTTCTTTGTTAGTTTTCTGTCTTGATGATCTGTCTAATGCTGTCAGTGGGATGTTGATATCCCCCAGTATTATTGTGTGGCTTTCTAAGTCTTTTTGTAGACCAAGAAAAACTTGTTTTATAAGAAGAAAACACTCCAATACTGGGTGCATATGTATGTGTATAGTTAAGTCTTCTTGTTGAATTGAACACTTAACCATTATGTAATACCCTTCTTTTTGTTGTTATTGCTTTAAACTCTGTTTTATCTGATATAAGAATAGCAACCCCTGTTCTTGTGTTCTGTTTCCACTGTAGATCTTTCTCTAGATCTTTACTTTGAGTCTATGGATGTTTATGCATGTGTGTTGGGTCTGTTGAAGACAGCAGACTGATAGGGCTTTTTAATGCAGCTTGTTACTCCATATCTTTTAAATTGGACCTTCAGGCCATTTAAATTCAAGGTTAATATTGATATCTGAGGTTTTAATCCTATCATGAAGTTGTTAGCTGTTTGCTTTGTGTTTCCTATTTTGTGGTTGCTTTATAGGGTCTTTGGGCTATGTATTTAAGTTTGTTTTCCTGCTAGCTGCTATGATTTCTATGTTTAGAACTTCCTCAATAATCTCTTGTAAGGCTGGCCTGCTGGTAACAAAGTTTTTCAGGGCTTGCTTGTCTGTAAAATCGTTTGTTTCTCCTTTGCCTATGGAACATAGTTTGGTGGGATATAAAATTCCTGGTTGGAATTTCTTGTTTTTAAGAATATTAAAAATTGGCCTCCAATTTCTGTTAGCTTTAAGGTTTCTGCTGAGAAGTTCACTGCTAGCCTGATGGGGTTCGTTTGTATGTGATCTGACGTTTTTCTCTAGTTGCCTTTAAGTTTTTTGTTGTTGTTGTTGTGTGTGTGTGTGTGTGTGTGTGTTAAACCTGGACAGTCTTGTGACCATATGCTTTGGTGATACTCATTTTGTATTATATCTCTCAGATGTTCTCTGGATTTTTTGAATCTGGATATCTGTCTCTCTAGCAAGATCAGAGAACATTTATTGAATTGTTACCTCAAATATTGTTTTCCAAGTTACCTACATTGTCCACTTCTTCCTCAGGGATGCCAGTAATTTGCAGGTTTCTTCGCTTTACATCATCTAATATTGCTCAAAAACATTGCTTATTTCTTAAAATTCTTTTCTTCTTTATTTTTATCTGGCTATGTTATTTCAAAATACTGGTCTTTAAGCTCTGAAATTATTTCTTCTTCTTGGTACAGTCTATTGATAAAGCTTTCAATTGTATTTTTTAAATTCCTTAAGTTAGTTTGTCAAATCCAGAAGTTCTGATTGCTTTCTTTCAAGATGTTTATCTCTTTCTTTATTTCCCGGATTGCTTTAGAAGTTATTTGTGTTCATTTTCAGCTTGTCTTGGATCTCACTGAGCTTCCTTGAAATCCATGCTTTGAATTCTTTTTGTGATTTCTGCATTTACATTTTGGTTAAGGACCATTGGTGGAGGGGTACTGCAATTCTATGGTGATGTCACTGCATTCATATTTTTCATAGTGCTAGAATTATTGCATTGGTTTCTTCTCATCTGAGAATGTTGGCACTTCTAATTTTTGTAATTTTGTGTTAGGATATTTTCTTTTGTTTTTTATTTCAGTGTAACATTATTATTTTTTTTCTTTCCCTTTCCCTTTCCTCTCCTCCCTACAGGGTGTGACTGTAGTGAATGCTGGGTATGGTCACTTGTCTTTGCTTCTGTAACCCTATGTAGTTTCGTTGACAGGTTTTATATTGATGTGTGTAGTTCAACCTACAAGCCAGTAGATGGTACTTATGGGTGAGAGCTGGCTGTACCCGATGTGGCTAGGTATATACATGATCCTTGTTTACTGGGAGAAGCTCTCTCTCATCTTAGGCAATGGGCTGATCTGTGGAGTGCACAGTTGTCTGAGCTCCTTGCTCTGTCCTATGTTAGGACAGGTCCAAGATTAGCATGGCCTGCCTAAATGTCCCCTGATGTCAGGCACAAACACCAGCACTTAGCAAGGATCCAGTGGACAGCCACTAAACACCCAAAGGTGTGTCTAGGCATGGAGCTGGGAAACCTCCTCAGCCCCAAGTTCTCTGGACAGGGATTAGGGGAGGCCTAAATTCCTAATCCAGGTCAGAGAGCGAGTGCTCCACATGCCTGGAGATATGCCTGGGTGTGGAGCAGAGAGAGATGCCTGTTTGTGAAGCAGAGAGAACCACCCTTCACCAAGATCTCTGCATAGTAGGGGTGGGCAGCTCCAGGTTGCTGAACCAGGTGAGTGAGTGATCTGAATGTCTGAAGATCTGCCTGGGCATAAAATGTAGAGGGCTTGACTGCACCATGATCCATGGCCAACAAGGGGGGTGTTGCTCAGGCTACTAGTCCATGTGAGCAAGTACTCCAAATTCCTGGAGTTCTGTCTGCATGTGTTGTGATGAAAGCCCCACTGCACCACCATCTATGCACAGAAATAGGGGCAGGTAAAGCTGTTGATCCAGGTGAGGAAGTGCTTCAAACACCTGGAGATCTGTTTGGGTATTGAGTGCGAAGTGCCTGCTATACCACAATTTATGTCCATGAAAAGTGGGGCAACTCAGATTGCTGATTCAAGCAAGTGGGCGCTCCAGATGCTTGGATTTCTGCATGGAGGTGGAACGGAGAGGGCCCTGCTATACCACATCTCAAGGGGAGCATGCTGTGGCACCCATTAATGGCATACGCAAGTCAGTTTCAGGTTGCCAGCTGGCCTTGAATGAAAGTGTCATCATCCAGGAGAAAACACAGCTATAGCAGCTCTTCTCCTGCCCCAGGGCTTCAACAGGGGAGTGTACAATTCTGGTACCTACTGCTGTGGTGCTTTCTACAGTTCTGGCTATGGAAGCCCCTACCCTGCTCCAGAGCAGGTGTTCCAATCTCTGGCCTGAGATTAAAATACCTGCATGGCCATACTGCTAGGTCTCAAAGGAATGGCTGATTTTGTATGTGCCTGGATTATAAATGGCATCCTGCTGTCAGTCCTTGGCCTGGGCAAATTTCTGTAGTTTTTCCTGGTGTTTTCCCCTCAGGTCTCCAAGCCTCTCCCCAGGTTAGCACCAGGACTTTAAAGAAACAAAATATTCTCCCTCCTCTTGGGTTGCTCAGATCCCCAGTAGAAAGGTGAGTCACAGAGGGAGGCTCTCTGTCTCTCTCATGTACTGGGGCTTCACTTACTTTTATCAACTGGATGCCATCACATGGACTGCTTTCCCATGTCCTCCCCGCTGGGGCCCCCTTCACAATACTGGTGGATTCTCATTTTTCTTCTTGAATTAAAGCTCACAAAGTTGATCTTTATGCACTATCTTGCTATTTCCAAGTCACTGAGGCATGATAAAAGGATTTAATCAGTCATCTTGGAAAAAAAATCTATTGTTAGTTTACATCCTTTTTTAAATATATAACTCCCTTGTCAGAAATGTGATTTGCAAATATTTTTACCCAGTCTGTAGCTTGCCTTTTCATTCATTCACATTGCCTTTTGCAAAGTAAATATTTTTAATTACAAATAAGCTCAACTTAGCATATTTTTAAAAATAAATTGTGCTTTTGATGTTGTAGTTAAGAATGCTGCCTAACTGATAGTCACAAAGATTTTCTCCAATATTTTCTAATAGAAGTTGTATAGTTTTACATTTTACATTTAGACTTTTGATTGATTCCAGGTTAATTATTTTATAAGATTAAAGATGTGGGTCAAGTTTTAATTTTCTGCTTATAACCTATAATCATTCTGTTGGCACTTGTTGAAAAGTCTATACTTTCACCATTGAATTCAGACCTTTGTTGAAAATCACTTTAGAATTTTGTGGATCTATTTCTGGACTGATTATTGTATTTTTATTAATCATTTTGTATTTATTATTTTGCTATTATTACATTGTAATGATTAGGTACGTGCTATAGTAAATCTTGAAATCAGATCATGTGAGTCCACAAATAGGTTTTTTTTAATCAAAATTGGTTGGCTAATCTAATTCCTTTACCTTTCCCCATAAATTATAGCATCAGCTTGTTGATATCTGCAAAAACAGAAGATCCATCTAAGATTTCCTTTTTATTTAGATTATGTTGACTTTACGGATCAATTGTGGGACCACTGACATCATAACAATATTGAATATTCCAAGCTAAGAACATGGTATATCTCTCCATTTAATTAGATTTTCTTTATTTTTTTCATCTTTTTTTTAATTTTAAGCACACAGATTCCACACACATTTTGTTACATGTATACCTAAATGTGTCTGTGAATAGATACAGTGTTGTTTATTTTCAATCTGTATGTCTTTCATTTCTTTTTCTTGCTTTATTTCATTGGCTAGAACTTACAATATTATGTCAAATAGGAGTGGTGTCAACCTTACTGTTTCTGATTTTTGGGGAAAAGTATTCAATATTTAACCTTTGAATATCGTGTCAGCTGTTATCTTTGTGTAGGACCTGCATGTCAATTTGAAGATATTCCCCTGTTTCTAATTTGCTAAAATTGAATAGTTCTACTAATATAAATTTTGATCTAGTTGGTTGATTATGTTGCTCAAGTCTTCTATGCATTTACTGATTTTCTATTTTTTCCATCAAGTTCTAAGGAGTATTGTAGTCTCCAAGTATTACTGTGGATATGTCTATTTATCCTTTCATTTCTAGCTTATTTTGCTTATATTTTGAAGCTCTGTTGTAAGGTGCATACACACAGGATTGATACGTCTTCTTAGAGAATTGATCTTTTTATTGTCATATAATGTATTTCTTTATACTGGATAGCATTTCTTGCTCTCAAGTAAACTTTATATAGATATAGTAACTCCATCTCTATTTCACTAAAATTTGTATAATATTTTTATTGATGTTTGATATCTATTGACATTTGAAGACTATAGAGAAATTTCATAAAAAGAGTATTATAAACTATTATAGTTTACAGCTAAATACTTGGATCTCTAGTTTATTATGTTCCTAACTTGTATTTTAAGATGATTCCAGCAAATAAAGAATACCGAAATCACTTATTTTTGAAATAATTATGACTATATTTTATTCTTGAAACTAAGGCATATCTTAGAGTTCAATAAACTATACTTCCAAATTTATGTAATTTATTATTAGCTAACTATTTTTTAGCTATAATTAGTTCATTATATATTCTTATAATTTGTTTTCCAATTAATTTCTCTTTTATGTCCTCTCTCAGTGCTAGTTAGAAGCCATATTTCAGCTGACTTGCATGTATAGATGAATGATCATAGTTTCCTTGAGGGTCACAGATACAATAAAAAATACCTACATTTGGGATACTAGGCCAAAGGATCCCAATTATGATAATGAGACCTCATCCACCCACTCCAAGTCATTTATACTTCCCTAAGAATTACTGACAAATTAAAAATACCAACTCTATAAATAATGGAAGTCTTTAATGCATTTGTATATAGGTTGTTACCTTTTTTGTCACAATGATATTTAAGTAGCTAATAAAAATATGCCTTTGAAATATAAATTTTATTATTTTTTTCCTCACCCCAACAACTGCAGAAATAACTGTTCAACCAACTGTGGAAGAGGCCTCTGACAACTGCACTCAAGAATGTCTCATCTATGGCCATTCTGATGCCTGCTGGATGCCGGCATCTCTGGATCATTCCAGCTCTTCACAAGCACAGGCCTCTGCTCTATGCCACAGCCCACCACTGTCACAGGCCTCTACTCAGCACCACAGCCCACCAGTGACACAGACCATTGTTCTCTGCCACAGCCCTCCAGTGACACAGACCATCGCATTGTGCCACAGCCCACCACCGATACAGGTGTCTGCTCTCCACCACAGTCCTCCTCTAGTGCAGGGTACTGCACTTCACCACAGCCCACCATCAGCACAGGCCTCAGCCCTCTGCTACAGCCCTCCTTTAGCACAGGCTGCTGCAATCAGCCACAGCTCTTCTCTGCCACAGGTTATTGCCCTCCATCGTAGTCAGGCCCAATCATCAGTCAGTTTGCAGCAAGGTTGGGTGCAAGGTGCTAATGGACTATGCTCTGTTGATCAGGGAGTGCAAGGTAGTGCAACATCTCAGTTTTACACCATGTCTGAAAGACTTCATCCCAGTGATGATTCAATTAAAGTCATTCCTTTGACAACCTTCGCTCCACGCCAACAGGCCAGACCGTCCAGAGGTGATTCCCCCATTATGGAAACACATCCCTTGTAAAGCTAAAATAGTTACTTCAAATTTTCAGAAAAGATGTATATAGTCAAAATTTAAGATACAATTCCAATGAGTATTCTGATTATCAGATTTGTAAATAACTATGTAAATAGAAACAGATACCAGAATAAATCTACAGCTAGACCCTTAGTCAATAGTTAACCAAAAAATTGCAATTTGTTTAATTCAGAATGTGTATTTAAAAAGAAAAGGAATTTAACAATTTGCATCCCCTTGTACAGTAAGGCTTATCATGACAGAGCGTACTATTTCTGATGTACAGTATTTTTTGTTGTTTTTATCATCATGTGCAATATTACTGATTTGTTTCCATGCTGATTGTGTGGAACCAGTATGTAGCAAATGGAAAGCCTAGAAATATCTTATTTTCTAAGTTTACCTTTAGTTTACCTAAACTTTTGTTCAGATAATGTTAAAAGGTATACGTACTCTAGCCTTTTTTGGGGCTTTCTTTTTGATTTTTGTTTGTGGTTTTCAGTTTTTTTGTTGTTGTTAGTGAGTCTCCCTTCAAAATACACAGTAGGTAGTGTAAATACTGCTTGTTTGTGTCTCTCTGCTGTCATGTTTTCTACCTTATTCCAATACTATATTGTTGATAAAATTTGTATATACATTTTCAATAAAGAATATGTATAAACTGTACAGATCTAGATCTACAACCTATTTCTCTACTCTTTAGTAGAGTTCGAGACACAGAAGTGCAATAACTGCCCTAATTAAGCAACTATTTGTTAAAAAGGGCCCCTTTTTACTTTAATAGTTTAGTGTAAAGTACATCAGAAATAAAACTGTATCTGACATTTTAAGCCTGTAGTCCATTATTACTTGGGTCTTTACTTCTGGGAATTTGTATGTAACAGCCTAGAAAATTAAAAGGAGGTGGATGCATCCAAAGCACGAGTCACTTAAAATATCGACGGTAAACTACTATTTTGTAGAGAAACTCAGGAAGATTTAAATGTTGATTTGACAGCTCAATAGGCTGTTACCAAAGGGTGTTCAGTAAAAATAACAAATACATGTAACTGTAGATAAAACCACATACTAAATCTATAAGACTAAGGGATTTTTGTTATTCTAGCTCAACTTACTGAAGAAAACCACTAATAACAACAAGAATATCAGGAAGGAACTTTTCAAGAAATGTAATTATAAATCTACATCAAACAGAATTTTAAGGAAAAATGCAGAGGGAGAAATAAGGCACATGACTGCTTCTTGCAGTCAAGAAGAAATACCAATAACACACACAGAACAAAAACCATCAAAATCTCATATATGAAATAAAATATATTCTTCTAAGCAAAGAAACAGTACTATTCATAGAAAACATTAGTTTTCTCCTGTTGTCTGTTATTTCCTTCTTTTATCCTCTTAACTGGCCATTATCTTGTATGTGCACATTTTATAAATGTACAGAAACATCACCAACTTGATTTTCTTCCATAGCAAAACTGAGAAAATACCTTGTTTCAGTATAACACTAAACCAAGAGACAATTGATGTTTAATGGGGGCGGTTGGGGTTGGGGGGGAGTCAATATCTCCTATTGATTAACTTAGACATAGATTTTGTAATGTATAACTTGATATTTAATTTATGATTAAACTGTAATTTTGTAACATAAACTGTGGTAATTGCATAATTTCATTGGTGAGGATTTCCTTTGAATATTGAGAAAGTTTCTTTTCATGTGCCCAGCAGGTTAAGTAGCGTTTTCAGAATATACATTATTCCCATCCATTGTAAAGTTCCTTAAGTCATATTTGACTGGGCGTGCAGAATAACTTCTTAACTATTAACTATCAGAGTTTGATTAATAAAATTAATTAATTTTTTTTCTCCTTCGTGTTGTTAATGTTCCAAGGGATTTGGAGCATACTGGTTTTCCAGGTGCATGTGAATCCCGAAGGACTGATGATATTTGAATGTTTATTAAATTATTATCACACAAATGTGTTGATATTGTGGCTATTGTTGATGTTGAAAATTGTAAACTTGGGGAAGATTAAGAAAAGAACCAATAGTGACAAAAATCAGTGCTTCCAGTAGATTTTAGAACATTCTTTGCCTCAAAAAACCTGCAAAGATGATGTGAGATTTTTTCTTGTGTTTTAATTATTTTCACATTTTCTCTCTGCAAACCTTTAGTTTTCTGATGATCTACACACACACATACACACACACACACACACACGTGCACACACACACATTTAAAGGATATAAAAAGAAGAGGTTGAAAGATTATTAAATAACTTATCAGGCATCTCAATGGTTACTATCTATGTTAGTGAAAATCAAATAGGACTCAAAGTTGGATATTTGGGATTTTTCTTCTGACAGTATAATTTATTGAGTTACTAGGGAGGTTCTTAAATCCTCATATCTGGAAACTTGTGAAGTTTTGACACCTTTCCTATAGATATAGGAATGAACCAATACGCTTTTATTACCCTTTCTAACTCTGATTTTATAATCAGACTTAGATTGTGTTTAGAATATTAAATGACTGGGCACCCTCTTCTTGGTTTTTACCAGAGAGGCTTTGAATGGAAGCAGGCTGAGAGTAGCCAAAGAGGCAAGGGGTATTAGCCCAGTTATTCTCCCCTATGCCTTCTCTTCCTAAGCGTCCACTAGGTCTGGCCTTGGAAATCTGTTACTTCTACGGCTTCAGATCTGATGATATCTTTTTCATCACATTACAAGTTATTTCTTTGACTGAATAGACAGTGGTATAGGTTGACACAGCACACAAGTGGCTATTGTGATGTATGATGTATGTAGTCCCACAACTGCAAAACGTCTTACTGAAGCAACAATCGAAAAATGGTTCTGTTTTAAAAAGGATTTTGTTTGATTTGAAATTAAAACTTCAAACTGAATGACTTATATGAGAATAATATGTTCAATCAAAGTAGTTATTCTATTTTGTGTCCATATTCCATTAGATTGTGATTATTAATTTTCTAGCTATGGTATTACTATATCACACTTGTGAGTATGTATTCAAATACTAAGTATCTTATATGCTACGTGCATACACATTCTTTTCTTAAACTTTACCTGTGTTTTAACTAATATTGTGTCAGTGTATTAAAAATTAGCTTTTACATATGATATCTACAATGTAATAAATTTAGAGAGTAATTTTGTGTATTCTTATTTACTTAACATTTTACTTTTAATTATGTAAATTTGGTTAGAAAATAATAATAAATGGTTAGTGCTATTGTGTAATGGTAGCAGTTACAAAGAGCCTCTGCCTTCCCAAACTAATATTTATCACACATGGTCATTAAATGGGAAAAAAATAGACTAAACAAATCACAAATTGTTCAGTTCTTAAAATGTAATTATGTCACACACACAAAAAAATCCTTTTCAATCCTGAGAAAATTAAAGGTGTTTTACTCACATGGATATTTCAACATTAGTTTTTTTTGTTTGTTTCTTTTTCATGGTATTACTGAAGGTGTGTATACTCCCTAATACACATTTATGAAAATCTACTTGTTTAGACTTTTATTTATACTCTTCTGATTTATATTTTTTATTATAATTATTATTTCTTATCTTCTTTTATATTTTTTGGAAACCAAATTTATAGTTAGTTTAGGTAAACTTTTTATTATGACCATTAGAAACTATTTTGAATGTTTCCAACTGGCTCAATTGGCTGGGAAAACATGGGAACAAGAGAAGCTGAAATATATTTCTGCAAGAACCTTTCTATATTATGTGCCAATTACCACACCAGATCAATTTTATGCAGAGGCCTTAAAATATTCTTTCACAGTAGCTTTCTTACACTAACCGTCATGTGCTTTTAGTAAATATGATTTTTAAAAGCAGTTCAAGTTGACAACAGCAGAAACAGTAACAAAAAAATCTGCTCAGAAAAATGTATGTGCACAAATAAAAAAAATTAATGGCAATTGTTTAGTGACTGTAAGTGATACTTTTTAAAGAGTAAACTGTGTGAAATTTATACTATCCCTGCTTAAAATATTAAGATTTTTATGAAATATGTATTTATGTTTGTATTGTGGGAAGATTCCTCCTCTGTGATATCATACAGCATCTGAAAGTGAACAGTATCCCAAAGCAGTTCCAAGCATGCTTTGGAAGTAAGAAGGTTGACTATTGTATGGCCAAGGATGGCAGTATGTAATCCAGAAGCAAACTTGTATTAATTGTTCTATTTCAGGTTCTGTATTGCATGTTTTCTTATTAATATATATTAATAAAAGTTATGAGAAATAAACATTCATTTTTATTGTGTGTGTTAATTCAAAACTCAAATGATTCACTTTATTTTAAATAGATTTTCAAATGTATATAGAAAATACCCTTTTTCAATGGTACATTTTGGATTTAGCATATTTTTGTTCACTCTGAAAACTCCTTCAATATAATTTCTGACTTGAACATAATTTCAATCACTT